>NC_000001.11:50462925-50614441 GCF_000001405.40 Homo sapiens
ATTCAGAGAAAGGTTAACACAGCAGGACTGCTACTGTTTGAGAGGCCTGCTTACAAGGTTGGCAACTAGAAACTTGGGTTTGAGAAGGGTTACCATTATTCCCAGAACTGATAAGAGTAGCTCATTATGCCTAAACTGTTTGTGCAAACAATATAGTTTATGATGAACACTTGCTTTCCTTCTGGGAGTCTGGCATTTTGGTATATGTCTGGCAGAGTATACCTATGTGTTCAGCACCCAATAAAAGCCCTGGGCAGAGTCCCTATAAGCTTCCTTGGTTGGCAACATTTCACATGTGTTGTCTCAAATCACTGCTGGAGGTAATTAAACACGTCCTGTATGATTCCATCGAGAGGACCCTTGGAAGGTTGTGCCTGGTTTCCCCTGGACTTTGCCCATGTACCTTTTTTCTTCAATAATTTTGCTTTGTATCCTTTTGCTGTAACAACTCATAACCACAAGTGTGATTATATGCTGAGTCCTGTGAGTCTTCCCAGGAAATCACTGAACTTAGAGATAGTCTTGGGGACCCCCAACACATTATATGAAAATGTTTTCTGTTTAGGGTAAAGAGCATAGACTTTGGAGGTTAGAATCCCAATTATCTCAGTTACTATGTGTGTGGTGCTGGAAATAGCACTTAATATCTCTTAGCCCCAGTTGTCTAACCTGTAAAATAGGACTACTATCTATGCTTTAGGGTTGAATGAAAATTAAATGACAGAATACTTTCTGAAATGTCTGCACAAGGTCTGGCGTGGAACAGAACATTAGTAATTGTTAATTCCTCTGTCTAACTGAAAGCTGGAAAAGGCTGTAAAAACTGAAGAGGTCCTGAAATCAGCCATAAAAATTTCAAAGAAAACTTTCACATCGGAGATCCACCACCTCTTGGAAGGCTCAGGCCCAACTGTTCTTAAAACTAGGCAGAAAATTCTACCAACAAAAGTCACTCAAAACTTCTTGGATGTTTGGTCACATTTCCATGTAACCCTAGCTGAGAGGATTTTGCTTTGTGGAAAAAAGTAATGTTGAGAGAAGACAGAATATGCTTCCTTAGAGGAAAGTAGGAGTGAAAGTGAGATGGTGTGATGTCATCCTATACACCCAGAGGTAGGTCTAGTTGGTGAGCTGTGCTATTCTTTCCCAGCACAAGGTCTACACATCTTAAAGCCTCACATGTCTTGAATGTACCATGTGCCATGTCTGTGTCCTCACATTACCTCACTTAATTCTTTATTTTTAAATTTTTATTTTTTATAGAGATGGGGGTGTCTCTCTATGTTGCCCAGGCTGGTCTTGAACTCCTGGGCCCAAGCGATCCTCCTGCCCTGGCCTCTCAAAGAGTTGAGATTATAGGTGTGAGCCACTGCACCTGGCCTTCACTTAATTCTTATATCCAGCGCAAAGGTGGTTATTATTATCTGCCTTTTACAGGTGAAAGAACCAGTTTAGTGTGGTTATGTGACTTGCCCAAGGCCCCCCTAATAGTTGGTTCTTTGTGTTATATCATCATGCTGTCTCCCTGTCATTGCCAAGACTCAGAACACATTTTTACTGCATTTTACTAAGGGGAATGCAATAAACAGTGGACTTTCTTCCAAGGAAGAGTCTGTTATAATGCAACTGGCAAAGTGCAAGTCACTGTCATATTAAGAATGAAGAATGTGTCTAAAAACTTATTTTTTAAAAGGCCAGAGACAGGTCAAAAGTAGTGAATTTTGGGACATGGATTAAAGAAGTTTAGCCATTACCAACTCAAATGGCATGGCCCTCTGCCAGTTACCAAGTATTTTCATTATCACTTTTGATCTTATCATCACAATTTATCTGTGAGGACACATGACATTATCCTCACTTGAAAGATGAAGTAGCTGAAATACAGAAAAGAGAAATGATGTACTCAGAGTACCTCAGCTAACAGGTGGAAGTGCCAGCATTAGAACAAAGATCTGTCTGACTCCAAGTATACAGAGGACAGGAGAATCTATGGGCCATTTACCAAATACTTAGTCTAGGCATTGGTAACCTTTACATCCAATCATCTCTCCAATCTTCCCCTGCCTGGTGGTATTTCTATCATCTCATTTTAAAGACTACAACACCCTTAATTATTCTTCTGGCTTTGGTCTTCATTCCATGTTAATTCATCTTTCCAGGTTAACAGTGAGATATAACAGAAAGAATCACTACCGTCACATTTAAGTGCCAGCTCTGCCACTGCTTGGCTACGTGATCTTGGTTAAAACACTTAATTTGCAGTTTCAGTTTTGAAGCTATAAAATGGAGATAATATCTGCCTGGTATAAAAGGTTTTGGACATGAGTTTGAAATCTGCTTCTTTGAGCTTTTGATTTCTTAACTGTAAAGTAAGGATACTCCAATCTCATAGGGTTGTTGTAAGAATTCAATTACATGATACCTGTAAAGTTCCTAGCACTTTAACATATAATGGGAACATACAAGGGGAACTCAATAAGTAGAAGAGAGCATTATTATTATTTCACAGGCTGTTTGTTAATTTGCATCATTCATTCATTCATTCAACAGGTATTTACTGAGCGTCAGTTAGGTTTCAGGTACTGTCCTAGGTGCCAGGAATGTATTAGTTAACAAATAAAGTTCTTGCCCTCTAAGAACTTTTATTCTAGTAGCAGGGAGACAGTAAACAACTATATACCTATTATGTCAGATAGTGAACAGTTCAGTGGAGAAAAAGAGAGCAGGATAAGAGGAATAGGGGTTGTCAGTCTGGCAGGGTGGGGAAGGTAGGGCAGAGAGGGCAGGGAAGGAAGACTATTATTTTATATGGGTTGGTCAGCAAAGGCCTCAATAAAAAGGCAGTATTTGAGCAGCTACCTGAAGGAAGTGAGAGCATGAGCACTATCTAGAGGAAGACTATTTCAGTAGAAGAAAGTGCAAATGCAAGGCCCTGAAGTAGGAACATGTTTCATGGTGTTGTACAAATAGCAAAGATGCCAAGGTAAATGGAAATGACTGAGTGGGAGAGGGGTCAGAGAAATGCCAGCAAGTTAGATCGAGAAAGGCCTTTCACTCTGAACTGATGGGGAGCTATTACAGGGTTCGAAAAGAGAAGTGACGTGATTTGCCTTATTAAAAAAAAATCGCTGTCTTTTTTGAAAACAAGATTGAAGGGGATCACAGATGGAGGCAGAGGCCAGTAGGATATCATTATAATAATTTGAATAAGAGATTATAGTGGCTTCGGCTAGGGTTCAGTTGTAGAGGTAGTGAGAAGTAGATTCTGGGTATACTTTGAAAGTAAAACCAACAGATTTTGCTTATGAGTTGGAGAAAGGAGAGAAAGAGGAGTCAAGGATAACAGTAAGGTTTCTTGCCTGAACAAAAAGAATGAAGCTGCCATTTAATCAGATAAGGAAGACTATGGGAGGAGCAGGTTTTTAGGGGACAGTAGGAATCAGGAATTAAGTTCTGACTGTTTCATGTGAGACGCCTACTGGATGCAAAGTGGAGATACTGAGTAGATCGTTGTATGTAGAAATGTTTGGAGTTGAGGAGAGAATTTAGACTGGATATATATATTTGTGAGTTGTAACTGTGTATATCACATTTATTGCCACAAGACTGGATGAGAGCGCTTAGATAATGCCAGTATAAAGAGATCAAAGGACTGACATTTATTGAGCACCTGCTATGTGCCAGGTAATGTAAATCTGTAAATTATGGAATAATGTATGGGTAGTTATTCTTACTGTAATGATAATAATGGATGACTACATCATTCTGTAACTCAACAAATTTTATGTGGAATAAAGCCAAGCTCCTTCGCCTGGTATTCCAGTTTTATATATCCTGTCCCCAAACCCCCTTCAGCCTTTTCTCAGGACTTTATTAGACAAAGCCCCCTCATTTCAGCCAGTCTGGTCTACACTCTACCATATAGACATGGCTTTGTGCTTTTCAACATTAGACCTTTTTCCTCAAGCTGCCCTAGCTGGTGGAGAATGTTCTCCTCATAACAATCTACCAAAAAATCCTATCTATCTCAGTTTTGTTCAACTGCTATCTCTTTTACACAATCTCTCTTGGTTACCCACGCCAGCAGGGATCTATTGCCCCTTTTGCTTGACTATTCTTTGGACCCACTGCATGAACTGCAGTATGAGGACTGTTTGTATGAGAGGCTGAAATATTCTTAAATGTGGGACCATGACTTATTCCTTGGCACTAAGCAGAGTGGCTGGCAAAATAAAACTGTATTGGATAAACAGGGTGTGAAATACAACTAAGAGTATATTTTACCAGCATCTGGCAGTGACCCAGAAATAGGAATTATAAGGTGAGATGAATAAATCAGAGATGATGAAATCTTTCCAAATATGTAACACTGAGCTTCATTTACACATTGAAAGTATTTTTCTTTTTGGGACGGGGTCTCACTCTGTTACCAGGCTGGAGTGCAGTGGCGCAATCTCGGCTCACTGCAACCTCTGTCTCCTGGGTTCAAGTGATTCTCCTGCCTCAGCCTCCCGAGTAGCTGGGACCACAGGCATGTGCCACCATGCCTGGCTAATTTTTTGTATTTTTAGTAGAGGCGGGGTTTCACCATGTTAGCCAGGACGGTCTCGATCTCCTGACCTCGTGATCTGCCCTCCTCGGCATCCCAAAGTGCTGGAATTACAGACATGAGCCACCATGCTCAGCCTTGAAAGTATTTTTCTAGATGATAATCCACCTGACTGATTTATTTCTTATTTGGCTCAGGAAGCATGATGGCATAAGGATTAAGAACACAGGCTCCGCAGTCATATACCTAAGGTTTATATCTAGTTTTGATATTTACTATGACACTGGGCAAGTTACCTAACCTCTTTTGTGCCTCAGTTTCCCTATTCCAAAGCAGGGATTGAGTATTTTAAACGTTCTCACCTTTTAAAAAAAGCAGGTGAGGTGACAGATGTGCTAATTAGCTTGATTTACTCTTTCTACAATGAATACATATATCAAAATATCACATTGCACCAGGCACAGTGGCTCATGCCTGTAATCCTAGCACTTTGGATAGCCAAAGTAGGCAGATCATCTGAGCCCAGGAGTTCGAGACTAGTCTGGGCAACATGGCAAAATCCCATTTCTATAAAAAATACAAAAATTAGTTGGGTGTGGTGTCATGCACCTGTGGTCCCAGCTACTCGGGAGGGTGAGGTGGGAGGATCACTTGAGCACAGGAGGCTGGGGCTGCAGTGAGCTATAATTGTGTCACTGCACTCCAGCCTGTATGACAGAGTGAGACTCTGTCTCAAACAACAACAACAACAACAACAAAACTGCATCACATTGTACCCCATAACAATATAAAATTATTATATGACAATTAAAATTTTATTTGTATGTATTTTTTTTGAGACAGAGTCTTGCTCTGTCTCCCAGGCTAGAGTCCAGTGGTAGGATCTTGGCTCACTGCAACCTCCGCCTCCCAGGTTCAAGCAATTCTCGTGCCTCAGCCTCCCAAGTAGATGGGATTACAGGTGCACGCCACTACACTTGGCTAATTTTTTTTTTTTTTTTTTGAGATGGAGTCTCACTCTGTCGCCCAGGCTGGAGTACAGTGGTGCAATCTCAGCTCACTGCAACCTCCGCCCTCCAAGTTCAAGTGATTCTCCTGCCTCAGCCTCCCAAGTAGCTGGGATTACAGGCGCCTGCCACCGCGCCTGGCTAATTTTTTGTATTTTTAGTAGAGATGGGATTTCACCATCTTGGCCAGGCTGGTGTTGAACTCCTGACCTCGTGATCCACCCACCTTGGCCTCCCAAAGTGCTGGGATTACAGGTGTGAGCCACCACGCCCGGCCTAATTTTTGTATTTTTTAGTAGAGGCAGGGTTTCATCATGTAGGCCAGGCTGGTCTTGAACTCCTGACCTCAAGTGATCTGTCTGCCTCAGACTTCCAAAGTGTTGGGATTACAGGCATGAGCCACTGCGCCTGGCCAACAATTAAAATTTAAAAAATTTAAAACTTACAATTTAGAAAATAAATTTCTTAAACAAAATGAATAACCTAAAGAAATATAAACTGCCCTTGCTAGTATTTTTCCCTTTAATTAGGTTGCTGTTGTGTCAGATTAGAGTTTCATATATAGACCTATTTAAGCAGCAGCTGTATTATTCTTTTAAACCTTTTGCTATTTACTTTTTTTTGAATGTTGTAAATATTATGTAAACAGTTTTTATCAAATGACTTCTACCTAAAAATTCAGGTGTCCTGTCAAATAATCCAGGACCAGTTTTCTTTACAACAAAACTTTTGAAAATAAGCCAATCAAGAGGCCTGGGCTGCAGTCCTCAGTGGTCATTAATTAATTGAATGTACACTCTCAAGCAAGTAATTTCATGTCAAGACCTCATGTTCCCCATCTGCTGAATGATATTAACACCACACCTGTCTTGGTATCCCCCAAAGCTGACAGAAGAGGAGTGGGATAATTCTGTGAATGTATTTTGTACCTTAGTGAGGTCTCTTGTTTCTTTCAGTCAAGCAGTTTATTGTGGTTTAATGATGAGATGCATGTGCTGAGGAGGTAATCAGAAGAAGTGAGAAAAGGAGACGGTGTGAAATTTTGAAGATTTTATATGCCATGGTAAGGAGTTTGGACTTTTTCTGCAGGCCATTAGAACCCACTGGAGGCTTTTAAGCAGGAGAGAGACAGAGATCATCAAAGCCGTTTAAAAAAATCACTCAAGAGACAGTGGGGAGCATAGACGTGGGGAGGCAAAACTGGAGGCAGGGAGATGAATTAGGAAGCCATAGGTTTAATTTGGGCTATGACGACTTGGGCAGTGGTATAGAGGGAAAGAGAAGAAAAGAACAGATTTGAGAGAAGTTTAGAGGCAAAATTAATGTTGCGACCATCTAGATACTAGTTGTGTTCCATTACACAATCATAGTTCTTTTTATCTGAATCTTGATTATTTAGGGATACTGAAAAATTTCAAATAACCAGATATAGTGACATAAAATAACTGAGGGGAATGGAACAAGCTCAGCAGTAGTACCTTTAACATGTATTTCACCAATTAGATGCTTCATCTTGGCTTATTTTGAGAACAAAGCTTTTAAGATACAGTCATTCAATTGCATTAAAGTTTTTCCTTCTGGCTCTTGTTTTTTAAAAAAATAAAACTTAGTCTAATATAAATTGAAAATCAATCCCACTGCAATATTAGAGGTATTACCATAGGAAGGTTTTTGTAGTACAAAATATTTTAAAATACTGGTGCTTGCAGCTGCAATTTATTGCATTTACTAGGTGGTCTCTAATGTTGATTTTTCTAGTTCTATGACTCTAATTTTAAAATGGAACTCTATAATTTATTAACAGTTTTTAAAAGGACTCAATAATCTCAAAAAGCAATGGTCATAAGAAAACTTGGATGTCAGTATCAGCTCTGCTTTTATAATTGTTCAAGTGACTTAAGTGCTTAATTTTACCTCCCTTGATTCTCCCACCAGTAAAGTGGCAGCATTGGCCTTCATATCTCTGAGATCCTTTGCAAATATCAGATATTAAGATTTCAATGATATATTCTTAAGCCTGGGTTACAGCTAGATATTTGTAACTCAAATTTGATATCCATCACTGTTCTAGAGAAAGAATTCACTGCTGCCACATTTTCTTTAACTGTAAGCCCTTCCTACCTCTTCTGCTTCTCTCTATTTAGTATTATTACAGCAGATACTGTTTTATGTGCTATGAATATAGTAATTTATATTCACTTAATATAACGCTTACCACAACCCTGTCAGATATTATCATTTCTCTTTCAAAGATGCAGAAATAAAAGTTCAGCAGGGTCAAGTAAGTTGTCCAATGTTCAGTATGATGGAGTGGGATTCACATGCAAGACTAACTACCACTGAACCATTTACTTCTGACTTTGCTATTCTGCTTCCACTCACTGAACATCTCTCTGAGCAAGGCTCAGGTAAAATTAACTTCCTTTATAATACTTTCCGTTATCACAGCCTGCTGAAATTACTTATCCTTCTAACTGTGGGTATAATTTGCAATGCAATTTGTTTTGGATGTGTGTTTTTACTATAACGTGAACTCTTCAAGGTCAGTAACAATTTTTTTAAAATTTCTGTATCACCAGCACCTGGTATGAAGGCTGAAACAAGAGCGGTTGCACAGCAAATGTTTTGCTATAATGAGAGAATACATGAATTAAATGCGAATTAAACTGCTTCTATCTCCTTATGGTGGCAAATAGTATCCATGTGTTATCGATGAAGTCAAGTCAAACTTCATCTAGATGTAGCTTCTGGATTCAGACTGTAAATTCTACAAGGGTGAGATCTATGCCATTGTTTTTCTTCACTGTGTTTGCAGTGTTTAGCTTGGTGCTTAGCATAATAAAAGTGGATGGGTGACAGAGGAAGGAATTTGTATACCCCAAATTTGAAAGGCTTTTCCCCCAGTACATTTAAACAAAACTTTACTGAAGGTCTACTCTAGGAAAACCATGCTGGAGCTTGATTATACTCATTCTCCTGTTCCTTTAAGTCTTAGAGGGAGAAACAAAAATTATGAGTTATAGTTACAGAGATAAAAACCTAGAAAGCTGGGGCAAAATATAAATTCCCTCATTACTTTGTTTTAGATATAAAATATAAGAAAACAGTTTATTCCTGAATGCATGTCTGTCTGTTTGGGGATTCATATCTATAGATCTAGAAAAAGGCACGTTCCCTAGGCTAGAACAGGGGCTGTGTCATTATATCAGTGGCAATACATATGGGCTATCAGTGGACTCTTAGAGTTCATCTGCCATTCCTCATCCTCCTTTCCTAGTGCTTTCCAGTCATTTTATAAATTGAAAGATCTCACTTTCCAATTGTAGACAGAGCTCCTCTGAGGGATGTGGATATGGGTAGGCAAAAAATGGAAAAAGAGTAGGCAGAAAGAAGAGTTGTGGGATAAAGAAATAAGGAGAAGGGAAGAATGGAAAGATGGAGGAGAAGATAAAACAGGTAAAATAGGATTGGAAAAAAGGGAAGGGGTAGAAAAGGAAAGAGGAGAGAAAACGGAAGATAAGGAAGTGGCACAGAGGAGGAAGGCTGGGGGATACTGACAACCTCTTACCAAGTGGCATGAGTGATAATCAGCTTTTCTGGGAAGGGCCTATGTTTGGGCTACCGTAGGTCTGGAGGGGAGCTGGGGGAGCTGGCAGCAATCCCTTACTCTAACTCAGAGACAGGAGTTGGCCTATAGGAGGAGTAGTGGGGTGAGTGTCATTACTCAGCTTTTAGGACTCAACTACCTCATTTCCAAGGCAATGCCCAAGTAAGGCAAATGGGCCACTGATGTACATACGGCTCTAACATGTCCAGGAGGTAGAGCTCTGGAAATAAATACTATTCCTTCTCTTAGTAACTGTTATTAGCAAAATTGGGGAAAACATACACACACACACACACACACACACACACACACACACACACACACACACACACACAAACCCCAAAACCAAGTAACTCAATGCTTCCACAACTTGAATCAGTTTTCTGGGGAAGGCCTATGTCTGCGGCTATTTTGGTTGTCCTACAGTGCTCAGTTCAGGGAATTATGCTCAGCAGACATTTAGTAAATGGTTAGACAGCTCGGAAATCTTAACATGAAGTATTGTTTTGGTTGGGGGCGGGTGGCAGGCATGGGAGGTACAGAAGAACACTTACCAGGTCCTCTGCTGAGAAACCAGTCTCTGCTTTGTGGAGAAAAGGCTGAAGACACAATTAAGACTCCTAGAGTTAAGGCTTATATTATTTGTTATTAAAGAGGCAAGGCCTTAAGATGTGCTTTTTAACAGTCTTTAGTTTGGCTGTAATTTAAGATGACTTTTACAAATTAGATCCTAATCCTTGCAGACACAGATGGCTGTTACAGAATAGCCTTGCAAAAACACTAGTCATTTGACTTGAAAGAGAATTCAGAGAAGAATGAAGGGCCTTTAACTCTCACCCCACCCCTGGCTCTAGGAGGCCTAAAGAGTCCTGGGTGGGCTTTCTTAGTTTAGGTCTGGAATCTGGGTGGGCCTAGAGCATCTGTTCTCATTTGGACCAGCCTCTGTTCATTCTGGAACCAGAGATTAGGGGAGCCTGAGGTTATTAACATTCAACAACAGTTACTGATGCTTATATATGAAGCACTATGCTGGCAACCACAGGGAGATAGTAGCAGGCCCAAGAACACTCTACATTTCACATCACATTTCCCCAGTTTCCTTTCAACAGCAACTTTCCACAGTCCAGAGTTTTACCCTGTGGAAAGAGGTTCTTAATAATGATCAAAAAGCCTAGCTCCTTTTAAGATATTTTCACCCCATCCCTGTCAGTAATAAGCTTTAAAAATTAATTTGAAAGAAAATAAAGTTTAATTTTAAAATGCAAAGTCCTTAAACTCTATTTCTTTCAGTACTTCCATTTTTAAAGATGAGACCCGTTCAGAAAGGGAGTGACTTAAAACTAAGGGTTGGGAAGGGCAAACTTAGCTCCTAAGTTTTTTAAGTTCTCTGAGGTGAGATTTTCATCACAGAACATAAAGTATGAGAACAAGGCTGATCTTGAACACTTTGATAATGGTTCTTTGTTAAATGTTCACACACTGAGAGTTCAACTTCAGTGACAGAAGTTAAGGTAGTTTTCATACTTGGCTGTGTGGTAAGAACATATGCAGGCATGTGTTCCCTTGTGCATGTTTGTGTGCCTTATATACAAATAAAGGGGATGACCTTGGAGCAGTAGGCAGGGCCAGTGAGAAAAGGAACAATAGTCAGCACCTGGGATCCACTACAGTCTCCTGGGCTTAGAAATAAGTGGCAAGATCCTCATTCCACCCAGAGGGGATATTACTAGTTTCTGTCTCTATCCTGCAAACCTGACAGCCAATGTGAGGGACTTAGATGTACCTTAATGAAACTCTGGGTTTTGGTATGCTAGGTTACTATACCTAGATCACAATGGAATCACAGAAGATTTATTGTATATTTCAGAGCTAAGCAAGTCCAAGTCCCATTCCATATAAAGCAGGAATACCAGAGATGAATCCCTCTCCATATATATATCTGTTATTACTGAAAAGAGTAGTATTTGGTAATCTCCAATGATAGGAAAATTAACACTTCACGACACAAGATATTCCTTTCTTAGAAAATGCTTTGTTACACTATGCCAAATTTGTCTCGTGTAACTTTCAACTCATTGGTCCCAGTTCTGCCCCTGCAGCCTCAAAAAATCAGATCCCTCTTTTACAAGGCACGCCTTCAAGTAGCTGAAGACAACAATCACATCTCTCATGGTCCTTCCTTCTTTAGAGGTAATGTTCCTTAAATGACATGATTTCCAGCTCCCTCACCTTCCTACCAGCCCTGCTCCAGACATGCTCCTATTTCTTCAGGCTTCGTTTTTCAGCATGAAGCCTAAAGACTATTTCAGGGGTAGTTTGTTTTTTTTTTAAATTTTTTATTTCCATGGGTTTTTGGGGAACAGGTATTTGGTTACATGAGTAAGTTCTTTAGTGGTGATTTGTGAGATTTTGGTGTACCCATCACCCAGTGGGTAGTTTATCTTAGTGCAGAGTTAAACAGGACCATTAAGTTAATCTCTGGTTGGGATTACACCTCTAAAACAGGAGCTAGCTTTTTTGTTGGCAGCCACAACGCGTTATTAACGTGTATTCAGCTTAATTCGACCATAACCTCTACTA
Organism: Homo sapiens; assembly: GCF_000001405.40. Classification (NCBI taxonomy): domain Eukaryota; kingdom Metazoa; phylum Chordata; class Mammalia; order Primates; family Hominidae; genus Homo; species Homo sapiens. The sequence continues at coordinate 50,474,669 of NC_000001.11, forward strand.
AAGGAATCTATTTCTACACATTTCTGTGAAATTTCTGCAGCTTCATTTTGTGTAAGTTTCAGTATTTTAAGTTTTTCTTGAATCTTATTTTTCATAATCTATAAATCTGATAAAGTCTTCATTTAGGTTGCCAACAAATATGGTAAGTAATAAAAGATTAAATACAGAGCCTCTTGGTTCCCTACAAGGAAATGGTGGTTAACATTTTTTGGACACAACCATTTAATCAGCAATGAATCTAACACATCTATATCTCTCTACTTTGCCCCAGAATACTATGAGAGACTATCAAATATTGTGCTGTAATGCAAGCACACAGTGAATACAGGTCACCCTCTGTAACTTCCCAGGGTAGTAAGACTATCAAATCACAAAACACTGTTTGTTTTGCATGACTCATTCTTAGTGAACCTACATTCATTGACCCTGATATCTAACTGTTAAGCTGTTAAACATACAATTCTCAGGTATATTCTGAGGGCTACAGATATATCTCATTTGAGGAATACAGATGAGACATCAGCAAAGACTGGAATGCTGGAATAGGGAAAACAGCTAGGAAGGAAGATCTAGTACCTAATTTCTTACATAGGCTACTGGGTACATATCTGCTGGCCTGGGAAGCCATACTTTCTCCAAAAGCTAAGGAGAGAATGGTGTGCAGAACAAAGAAGGACTCCTGTTTGTCTTGTAGTTGCCTGCACCATGGGACTTTTCTTGAACTACTTTGTTCAGCTTTAATGATGGCACATCTCCCACCTGGATATACTTCCTGAGATAGGTATGGGAACTTACGTCTCTCCTAGGAAAGGTGCTCAGTAACTTGTACTCATCCCATGGAAATCCTTTGGAAGCTACAAAATCAAAGACAATCTGGAGCTTGTTGCTGGCCAGGAAACGCCGCTCCAAGAACTCGCCACTGGGGGTCCGGATCCGCAGTTTGCTCACAGGCTCAGCATTTTCTTCCTTTGGCTCAGGAGGCAGGGCTTGCTCTAAGGACAGCCGGATGGCCTAGGGAGAGCAAAAACCAGGTGTTAAAATGTGAGAAGGACTGGACTATGGAGAGTGGGGAGGAAGACACCAGAAAAAAAGCTGCTGTTTTCTAGAAATTCATTGAAAAGTCACTGCCCTATTTATTAGCCAAGCCAAATGCTTGAACAATAGAATAATGTATTTTTCATTTTCTTAATATTAGTCCAATAGGCAAGTAATTAAAATAAATTCCACCTTGATGACACATATTATTAAATATATAGGAAACTACACAGAAAAGGCATTTTTTTAACTGAAGGGCTCAGATATTTGTGATCAAAGACATTCATATCAAATACCCAATTGATACCTTTCTAGGGTATGAATTAAAGCTATTAGATGCATTCAGAAAAGACACACACAAACAGAGATATATTTATATTTGAGAAATACAAGTAGAAGTAACTGCAGAATACTGGATTATTATGTTTATGTCAAAATGGAATGAGGAAATTCTGTTTAGGGTGATGAAACATTTTGGAAATAGTGGTGGTGGTTGGACAATACTGTGAATATAATCAATGCCACTGAATTGTATACTTAAGAATGGCAAGTTACTGTATATATATTTTGCCACAATAAAAGAAAAGTTTTAAAAAATGGAAAGAACTTCAAATATCAGGTTTATTGGCAGAAGGAGACCACAGTCCTAGTTCTGGCTTTGCCACTAACTCGCTATGGGATTTGGCCAAATCTTAGTGGTTGATTTCTGGACCTACAGATGGACCAAACCCTTCATTTGACTTAAGCAGGTGAAGCAAACTGTTGGAAGGTCTCATGGCTAGCGTGGGCTTGAATCCAGGTTTTAGTATTACATTGTTTCACATGTGACATTCCATTAGAAGGAGATTGTCTCTGAGGTCCCTAACAACATTGGAATCTATAAAAATCACTAAAACCTTTTTTGTCTAGAACCCTGAGAAAGACTTCATGTTAGAATCCATGAAATTCATCTAAAGCAGTGCTCTGATGAAATTCACAGCCTTAACATTCGTATGCCATTATAAATTAAAGAATAAAAATAAGTGAATTAAGAATTAGATTTTAAAAGCTAAATTATCAGTGTCTGGTAATAAAAAAATTTAAAAGCTAGTGAAAAAAAACCAATAAAATAAGTGGAAGGAAAGCTGAGAATAACAGTATAAAGAAATAATTTAGAAAAAAAAGAAATATATAACTAGTCAGCTTATAAGCTGGTTCTTTGGAGGTAATAAACTTACACAAATAAAAAGAAACAAAAATGGTAACCTACAGAGGGTAGGGGAAACAAGGTGGAAGAGGTGACATCTGGTGTTTTCTGCATATGCCTTTCTATTTTGACCTATGCAAATTATCTGTTAAAAAATGTTTAACCAACAGAAAAAGTTTGCTCAGACACAAGTATGGATAAGAAATTAGGTAATGTGTGTCACGCAGGTGAATTTGGTTGGTTCTAATACTGAACTATTTTTTTTAAATCATTCAAAATTTCTGCAATGTATAGACAAAGCTAGTCTAGCCTATGACTGAGGTTACTTTCCTTCTGGAGGCACTGAATAACCACCTACCTTATAGGGGATTACAGAGATGGGAATTATATAGACCATATATATATAAAATTTTCAGTATGGCATCTGACACATAATAGGCTTCAGTGATAGCTGCTTTTCTTATAATGAAGAGATCTGCACAGAATATCAGATCTGGAAGGGGCTGCATTTGTCAAACAGCCCAATACTCTCATTTTTTATATGGGGAAATTGATGCCCAGAAATGGAGACATAAGAAATACAGTTAAAAATATATTTTTGCTTTTTTTTCAGTCACTTTTGCCCTTTTTTCTGATAGCATGAGTAGCAGTTTACCTGATATTGGTGTTCTGCGACAGCAATGAGTTTCAGCTGAGTATTTCCAAATATTAAACTATTTTAGTAACATTATCATATATTAGTAACCCAGTGAATGGATTAACATCTGTGTATATCAAAATTAAATGCTAGTTGATATGTCAATTACAGCATTCACTATTTAGTACCATAGTTATTTATTTAATGCCTGGCCTTCTTACTAGCCTGCAAGCTCCATAATGGCATGGGAGCATGTATTACTTCTCATTCCAAATACAGTGCATAGCACAAAGTAGATGCTCAATATGCACTTGGAAGGGAAGGAATAAACTAACATGCTAACTGAAATAATATATGTAAAAGTGCTTAGTATGATTGTAGGCACGTACTAGGTGTTCAATAAATGCTAGAAGAATATGAATCTCATAGCCTCTACTTCTAGTAACTAAGAATTAAACATCTTCTCCTTTCTCTGAGGTATGACTCCTCCTTGCACTAACTGTTCAGATTAATTTTCCACATGTGTCCCTTAAAGGGAAACCATGAGTTGCTTGTAAGTATAAACCTCTGTGGATTAGAGTTATATACATTTTCTAAACTGTTAATGGGATCATCTATTTCTCAGTTACAGTGGTGGTTCTTTTTTTTTTTTTTTGAGATGGAGTTTCACTCTGTCGCCCAGGCTGGAGTGTGATGGCGCAATCTCGGCTCTCTGCAACCTCCGTCTCCCAGGTTCAAGCGATTCTCCCACCTCAGCCTCCCGAGTAGCTGGGATTACAGGTGCGTGCCAGCACACCTGGCTAATTTTTGTATTTTAGTAGAGATGGGGCTTTGCCATGTTGGCCAGGCTGGTCTCAAACTCCTGACCTCAAGTGATCCATCCACCTAGGTCTCCCAAAGTGCTGGGATTACAGGTGTGAACCACTGCGCCTGGCCACAATGGTGGTTCTTTACAACCATATCTTTTGAGATTATAAAACATTTTTCCCAATTACAAAAGTAATATAAATTCATTGAAAAAACAGATTAAAAGTAAAACATTAAAACTAATCTGTAGATTCACCATCAAGATAGCCATCACCATCAGTTTATATCCACTAATTTTTAAAATATTTTAACCATTGTTAAATGTACAATTCAGTAGCATTAAGTAAATTCACAATGTTGTACAACCATCACTACTATTTATTTCCAAAACTTTTTCATCACCCAGATACTCTTCCTTAATTTTTCAGGCATATTTTATATATTTGAAACTTTTTTCAAAATTTGAGTCAGTGTTGTATTGTATAAAGCTTTATCCTTTCTGTTCAAAATCATGTATTTTGTAATTGTTTTAAAGTTTTTATTAAAGTATAACATACATATGAAAAAGTGCACAAATCTTAAGTGTACAACTTGATAAAGTTTCAAAGTCAACATATCTGTAAAACTACAACTCTGATCAAGTATCTCAGAAGCATACCCTTTCCTGGGAACTACCTCCCCTCAAAGTCAGTATTCTGACTTCTGACAGTGCAGTTTAAAAAATTTTAATTAAATGCAATGTTATGATTAGAAACATAGGTTTTGGGGTATGACAGACATGCGTTCAAATCCTGGGAATTAGGCAAATGACAGTCTTTATGAATTTCAGTTTCCTCATAGGAATAGAGCCGATAACATCTTCCTCACAGCATCCTTCTATAAGATGCAGAATGTTTTTAGGTGGGCCGCCACACCACACTGCTCTACCTTCCTCTCTGGATCACGCCAGCTGCCTAGTCAGTTCTGATGAGAGAACCTGAATACTTGGTTGCTGGTGCAGGATTCACATGCTAATTATGGTTCTTTTTGATGGGAGACTCTGCTTCTAATCGGCCATCTTGGCGCTGTCCCTGACGCCACTTAGCAAATGCTGACACTTGGTCAGCACTCAGTGACAAGTGCTGAGCATTGATCCTCATGCTATATGTAATACTGTGATCAACATATGACAGCTGTTGGTGTTATCATTTTTGTTATGATTATTCCTTTTCGCCTACTTTAAATCAGAACTTAATGTGATATTTCTTGGTTTTCTCTCCTTTTCTCCCTTTAATCCACCTGTCTGCTTGCTTTCTGTTTTGACATTTCCCTGCATAGTATAACAGATGCTACATTATTGTCTGAATTCAACCAATTATATTACAGAAGAATAAACAACAGTAGCTCGTTACTTCATTCATTATACAGACAATGTCTGCTCCTCAATGTATACAGTCTCCAGGGCTTTTCCCCAGAAAGAAAACAGACCTCATACATCCCACACCAATGGACCAATGTGGAAAACAATGAAGAGATACGAGGTAAATCAGCAACCTTGAGATTTGAATATCCAACAGTTCTACTGCCAAAAAAATAACAAAAATACATCAGTAGTTCAGTTTCAAACATACTGGCTAAGAGCAAGGGCCTCCTGTAAGCAAACACTGTTGTAAAACAACAACATAAAGGACACCTACACTCAAACGAGTCATGGTTAACACCAGTGTTAAACTTCAGTTTGATTTGCTCAACAAATATAGTTTATTTGCATTATTTTTGGTTTGTAATAAAACAAGGAAACCTGGTATAAGTTAGAAATATGAACTGATCTGGTACTTTTTTTTCTACTAAAAATATGTGAGTATTTAAAGCATATCTGAGGGATGAGAAATGGGGCTATTTTTTGAAGTGAAATTAGGCAGTGAAAATAGATACCCACAAAAGACTGTCACTACAAGGTTACATTTTTTAAACAGAAAGAATAATACACACTTACAACAGTCTCTTACAATAAGAATCAAAGACTGCCTTAATTTACTTATATACACAGATGTATACATAAATATATACACACAAAACAACCTCTAGGTTTCTATGAGTATGTATAAATAACGGTTTATAGCTGGCTGAGGCACAGTGTTAAATAGGCTAAAGCTAACATTCATTAATTCCATGAATTCTTACTGAGCATCTTCTATGAGTCAGGCATTGTTCTAAATGATGGCAAAATAGCAGTGAACAAAATAGATAAAAAATTCTGCCTAAATGGAGCCTACATTCTAGTAGGGTAGGGATAAAGACAACAAAGACACACATAAGAAAAGATAGTATGTGCCACATAGGGACTTTTCAGTCAACGATGGACTGTATAAACCATGGAGGTCTCGTAAGATTATAACGGAGCTGAAAAATTCCTATTGCCTAGTATTTAGTGCACTATACTTTTATTTGTTATTTTAAGGTATACTCCTTCTACGTATTTTTTAGAAAAGTTAACCATAAAACAGCCCCAGGCACGTCCTTCAGAAGGTATTCCAGAAGAAAGCATTGTTATAATAAGAGATGACAGCTCCGTGTGTGTTACTGCCCCAAAGACTTTCCAGTGGACAAGATGTGAATATGGAAGACAATGATATTGATGATCTAGACCTTGTGTAGGCCTAGCCTAATGTGCATGTATCTTAGTTTTTAATAAAAAGTTTAAAAAGAAGGAAAAATTTTTAATAGATAAAAACTTATAGAATAAGGATATAAAGAAAGAAAAATTTTGGACAGCTGTACAATGTGTGTTTTAAGCTATTACAAAATAATCAGAAAGTTAAAAAAATTAAGTTTACATAAAGTAAAAAAGTTATAGTAAGCTAAGGTTTATTCATTGCTGAAAAAAGAAAAAAAGTAAACCTAGTGTGGCCTAAGTGTACAGTGATTATAAAGTCCGCTGTAATGTAATGTCCTAGGCCTTCATATTCACTCACCACTTGCTCACTGAGTCACCCAGAGCAACTTCAGTCTTGCAAGCTTCATTCATGGTAAGTACCCTACACAGGTGCAACATTTTTTATCCTTTGTACTGTACCTTTTTATCATTTTTATTGTACCTTTTCTACATTTAGATATACAAACACTTACCATTGTATTACAGTTGCCTGCAGTATTCAATACAGTAACATGCTGTACAGATTTGTAGCCTAGGAGCAACAGGTTATACCATATAATAGCCTAGGTGTGTAGCAGGCTATACTATCTATGTTTGTGTAAGTAAAGTCTAGGATGTTTGCACATCAACGGAATTGCCAATGACACATTTTCCCATCCTTAGGTGATACAAGACTATATCATTTTTCACAAAGTGGTGAGTGCTATGGAGGGAGTGCAGGGAATGCTGGTAGAAGGTGGGGGGAGGGGTAAAATTTTAAATACTGTAAACCTCAGTAAGCAAAGGTCTAAAGGAAAGAGGGTTCCACATGGATATTTAGATCTAAAAGAAGTATATTATAGGCAGGAGTCACAGTAAGTAGCAAGGCCCAGGTGCCTGGCTTGACTGAAGAATAGCAAGGCAGCCAATGTGGCGGGAATGGAATGAGCAAGGGGAGAGGGGTAGGAGTTAAAGTTACAGTGGAAACAAAGGAGAGGGGTGATTAGATCATATATGGCTTTGGGAAGGACAATTAATAATTATTTTCCTATTTTAAAATTAAGGTATAATTTATATACAGCAAACTCTATCCTTTTAAATGTACAGTTCTGTGAGTTTTGACAAATGCATATATTTGCATAAGTACCATCACCAACAAAGAAGAGTTCTATTACCTCTCTCCCCGTTCAAATTTCTTCATCCCTAGCTCCTAACCTCTAATCTTTATTCTGATCCTAGTTTTGTGTTTTCCAGAATGTTATATAAATGTAACCATAAATGTTACATAAATGACTTCCTTCACTTAGCATAATATATTTGAGATTCATCCATGTTGTTGAATATATCAGTAGTTTGTTTCTATTTATTGCTGAGTAGTATTCCATTGTATAGATACACATACAGCTTGATGACCCCTTCTCCAGTTGAGGGACACCTGAGCTGTTTCCAGGTTTAGATGACTACAAATAAAGCTGCCAAAAACATTTTCATACATATTTTTGTATGAATGTAAACTGCTTTATGTGAAAGCAGTTTACTGTTACTTTCATTTCACTTGTGTAAATACATACCTAGGAGTGTGACTGCCGGGTCATATGGTATATGCATGTTTAACTTTACAAGAAAGTTTCAAGCTAATTTCCAAAGTGGATGTGGATGTACTATTTAGCATTCCCGTCATTAATGTGTAAGAGTTCAGTTGCTCCTCATCTTTGCCAGTACTTGGTATTGTCCCTTTTTCTTTTAAAAAGTCTTCTAAAAGGTGTACATATATTGTGGTTTTAATTTGTATCTCCCTAACGGCTAAAAATTTTGAGCATATTTTGATGCACTTATTTGCCTTCTGTATATTTTCTTTGATGAAGTGTCTTTTAAATATTTTGCTCATTTTAATACTTGGGTTGCTTTCTTATTATTGAGTTTTGAGAGTTCTTTTTGTATTCTGGACATCAGATATATGATTTTCCCCTTGTCTGTGGCTTGTTTTTTCAATTTCCTAGCAGTATTTTATAAATAGTACAAGTTTCTAATCTTGATAAAGTCTAATTTACATATTTGTTATTTTATAGGTTGTGTCTTTGGTGTCAGATCTAAGAAATCTTTGCCTGACTCAAGGTCATGAAGATTTTCTCCTACGTTTTCTTCTGGGACTTGAATAGTTTTAGATTTTACATTTAGGTCTATTACCCATTTTGAGTTAATTTTTGCTTGTGATGCAATATATGAATTGAAGCATTTTAAAACTGGTTTTCTATGGGATTTTTTTTGGATATAAATATTCAATTGTTGCAGCATCATGTGTTGAAAAGACTATCCTTTCCCCATTGAATTGCCTTTGTATCTCTGTTGAAAATCAATTGACCATATATGTGTGGGTCTATTTCTGGACTCCATTGATTCATGGGTCCATTTTTTTTTGTAAATACCACTATGTCTTGATTATAGTAAGTCCTGCACTCTAGTAACGTCCAACTTTGTTTTCTTTTTCAAAATTGTTTAGACTATTCCAGTTCTATTGCTTTTTCATATAAATTTAAGAATCAGTTTATCAATCTCTATAGAAAATCTTGTAGATATTTGATTAGAATTACTGTAAGAATTCAGGTTTTATTTTGAGATGTAAGCCACTGCAAGTTTTTGAAGTGACATGATGTGACAAATGATTTTTAAAGGATTTATTAAGACTATAGGAAAGGCAAAAATGGAGATGTGGAATCAAGTTGGGAGGCTACTAAAGTAATCCAGATAACAGACAATGGTGGCTTAGATGAGGGTGATAGTGGTGGAGTTAAACATTTAAGTTCTGCATATATTTGCAGAGCCCACAGGATTTACTCATTAAATATGGATGTAAACGAGATAAGTCAAGGATAATTCCAAGGTTTCTGGCTCTAACAACTGGAAAGATTTTCCATTTACTGAGATAGGGAAGACTGCAGAAAGAGCAGGTTTGGGTGGGGAGGGTAGGATCAGTTGTGCAATTTAAAACATATTAAGTTTCTGATGTATATGAGACATCTAAGTAGACATGATGGGCCAGCAGTTAGATATTCAAGTCTGGAGTTCAGGGAAAGGGAGGAGCTGGAAATATAAATCTGGGAGTCAAACGTATAGACAATATAATATAGCCATATAATATAGTCAATATAATAGTCATAATACTGGATGAGATCACCAAAGGAGTAGAATGGATCCCATATAGAGACAGTTGATTTGACCCGATTCTGCAGTCAATCTCTATTCCTGGCAACCTGGAGAGTATGGATAGCTTACTACTCTACTACTATGACCTCATTTCTGGATAAAGTAAGTAAGGCAAATGATCATATTTCCTAAATCAAAATTCAAATAGATGATTTTTGCTTGCTTCTGGATATAAAGAACAGTCTGTAGGCTGTGATTTGGACACCATGAAGCTAGAATTTCTGGACTGTTTTAATGGTTCATGAGAACAACGGAACACTTCAAACTGAAAGTACTGAAGAAATAGTGGATATACATATATATATAGTCTCCATAATTATAATAAGGTATATTTATGTATTGGCACCTACCTTATTGAATTGTAAAAATTCAATAAGATAATTAATGCCTATAAAGTGATCACCACTGAGTTTAGCACATATTAATTGTGCGATAGTGGTGATAATGCCAATGATGATGATGACAGGGATGATTATAATTATGGCCCAGTGTGGACAAAAGCAACTTACATAAGATAAAAATACAAATTATAAAGAGCAGTTTTACCTTAATAACCAATTTATGGTCCCACCTTCATTCTTTGAATTTGGATTAATAAGTAGAATGAATACTGGATAGAAGCTCTGGTTCTGCTTTTATCAGGCTTATACGTTAGGTAAAAATTTAAAAGTAGGCTTAAAAATATCTTTTTAAAACTATTGTTTTTTTTAACCAAACACCACATGTTCTCACTGATAGGTGGGAATTGAACAATGAGAACACTTGGACACAGGAAGGGGAACATCACACACCGGGGCCTGTCGTGGGGTGGGGGGAGGGAGGAGGGATAGCATTAGGAGATATACCTAATGTAAATGACGAGTTAATGGGTGCAGCACACCAACATGGCACATGTATACATGTGTAACAAACCTGCATGTTGTGCACATGTACCCTAGAACTTAAAGTATAATAAAAAAAAGAAATTATTATTATTATTATTTTTTTTAAATAGAGATAGGGTCTTGCCATGTTGCTCTGGCTGGCCTTGAACTCCTAGGCTCAACTGATCCTCCCACCTCGGCCTCCCAAGTAGCTGGGATTACAGGTATGTGCCACTGTGTTTGGCCAAAAATAGGTTTTTAAATCCTGCTATAATCTTACTTTCATCCTCTGTAAAACAGTAATAATAATATCATCCTTACCAATTGTATTAGTCTGTTTGCACACTGCTACAAAGAACTACCTGAGGCTGGGCGCGGTGGCTCACACCTGTAATCCCAGCACTGTGGGAGGCCAAGGCAGGCAGATCAGGAGGTCAGGAGATCAAGACCATCCTGGCTAACACGGTGAAACCCCGTCTCTACTAAAAATATAAAAAATTAGCCAGGCGTGGTGGCAGGTGCCTGTAGTCCCAGCTACTCAGGAGGCTGAGGCAGGGGAATCACTTGAACCCAGGAGGCAGAGGTTGCAGTGAGCCGAGATTGTGCTACTGCACCACTGCACCCCAGCCTGGGCAACAGAGCGAGACTGTCTCAAAAAAAAAAAAAAAAAAAAAAAAAAAAACCAAAAAAACAAAAAAACAACCTGAGACTGGGTAATTTATTAAGAAAAGAGGTTTAATTGACTCACAGGCTTAACAGGAAGGATGACTGGGAGGCCTCAAGAAATTTACAATCATGGTGGAAGGCGAAGGGGAAGCAAAGCCCTTCTTCACATGGTGGCAGGGGAGAGAGAGAGAGAACAACGGAGGAAGTGCCACATTTTTAATCCATCAGATCTTGTGAGAACTCCATCATGAGAACAGCAAGGGGAAATGGCGCTCCCATGATCCAATCACTTTCCAGCAGGCCCTTCCTTCAACATGTGGGGATTACAATTTGATATTAGATTTGGGTGGGGACACAGAGTCAAACCATATTACCAATTTTGTAGAGTGGTTGTGAGGTGAAACAGAAAACTGAAGAGGAAGTGCCAAGGTTTCTAATTCCATGTTCTTCTGTTTTCCCACTTAGTAGTCATTAATATTACTTAATATTTTCTACTTAAGGTGGCACGAAGGCATAAAAGGAAACAGTTTGGGTAGACAGGCAAAAATTAACTTTTCTTTCTAGAGAACCATCAGCAAAAGGGAATAGCTTAGTATCTATTTTAATTCACCCAAGATTCGCCAAAATTCAGGCCTTTTAGCCATAGCTCTAATAATTCGACTGTGTTCTAAGTTTGTTCATTTACTGTTCCCTGAGCAAGCCCTGTGCCGTTCCCCTTTTGTTCATGACTACTCTTGCACTTCCCTTTGGTGTCCATCCAACCATCCATCCATCTATTCATTAGTCCAGACAAAATGCTCTTCTACTTCATCTTTAACCATCAAAGTCTGTGAAGTCTTTTTTTTTTTAAATTCACATCTCTACGGGCGCACCGTGAAGTCTTTCTTGTTGCCTTCCTAGTTAGATATCAGCTTCCTCCAAATAAACATCCTGTGCTATTTTAGTGGTTTTTATAATGTATGGTATCTTTTCCTGTAGTGATTTTGCATTTGTCTACCCTCTTGCATTAGACAGTAAGCTCCTTGAGGGCTGGACTATGCCTCGCACCTACAGCATAATGTCCACAGCACCTGATTTAATAATTTGCACACAGAAGGAGATTAACTAAATATTTGCTAAATATTGAGTGAATAAAAGATCTGAGACTCAAAAACCTTAGCTGAAAATTTCTCTGCTTACCAAAAACTCAGTAGAAAAAGGCAGTACTCAGGAAGGCTTTCTTGGAGTATATATATTTCACGCATTTCTCTAGTTACTATAAAGTCCATCCCTTAATCAGAAAAAATGTAGTATTTGGGCCTTTGCAGGGATGATTTTACTATATTGTACTTTAGCCTTATGATTTAGAATTACATTTAAAAAGTTTTAAGGAGCTGTCATACATAACTTGCCATTGTCACACATAACTTGCCATTGTCACAGTAGCTATTAGATATAGTTGGGGTTAGTATTCACTACATTGCACAGCTTCCTCTTGAACAGGAATATAGGAAACGTTGCTCTAAAATCTCATTGCTAGAAAATGTGGAAAAATTCTGAGAAACTAGCCTTCAGATCTGATGTTACGCACAAAGTAAAACTTGTAAACTATCATATTTTCCTTTGTTTTGGCCCAAGATAAGTATAGAACAGATTTTATGGAACAAATGTACAGCACCCTATCACATGGATTTGGTGCTTGTGCTAGATTATCTGTTGTCAACATGTTAGTCTTATCTTTGGCATTATCTTCCTTTGTCCTTTTCCTTTATTTCTATATCTACTCTTTCTTAATCCCTTTGAATTGCATGTATTCATGTAAGTTTCTTGAAACTGATTTTGGAAAGAATAAGTACATATATAAATTAATAAAACAGGAGATCTTTGCTGTTGTTTTTCCCTCAGAATAGTCTTACAGCCTTTCTCCTTATTAGGGCCAATGACCAGATCAATATACTTTTCTAGATGTTTGATTTCACTCCAACAGTTATCACACAGCAAAATGAGGCTAACCATTAAGGAATTTCCCTGCAACCAAGGTGATTTTACTGTTCAATACTTCTTTTTTCTAAAGGATCTTAGAATATTGAAGATAATCAAAACAATAAAACCACTCTTGTTTCTCAATGTAATTATATGGGTTAGGATTTCCAGTTAGAAGACAGGTAGTGTTGCTGTGAAAAGTCAGGTGACCCGGCTTCTGATCCAGATTAGGTGTTCAACCAGTTTGGTGACCATAGGTAAACCATATAATCTTTCTGGGTCTCAGTTTCTTCAGAGGTTGCACAATACCAGCTTTTCCCAAACAGTGGTTTGTGATACACTAGGGTGCCATGATATGTTAATTGTTGTTCCATTTAAAAAAGGGGCAAATAAGTTTGGATAAGATTGGACTAAATGAAAATAAACCATTTCTTAATGGTGGGATTTATAAGAGCCTTTGTGACACTTGGTTAAGGGAGAATAGAGTGCATAGTATTATCCAAACTTGCATTTTATGGGAGCATATCAATAGAAAAGTTTAAGTAATGACTAGGTGCAAAATATGGCCTGTCCTCTCCCCCACTGTACCCCAACCTCTCACATGTTAACAGCTGGAATGCATATACTGAATTATGTTTATAGGGTCTTCTGTAAGATGATGGGCTTTTATCTACATTTGGAAAGAAAGAAAGTTTCAGCTCATGGTAAATTAGATAAATCATCAGATGAAATTACATACGCTGCCAAGCTTTAGATCCAGAACACTGAGTTAATTGTGTACCCTTGACATTTTAGCAAGCCAGTATGGTTGACGATACACTAATACACACACAAACACACACAGAGCTAGAGAGTGTGTGCATGTGTGAACGACAGCATAAAGGAGCAAGAATCCTAAACTATATTTCTTGAAATAGCCTAAAAGGATAGTGACTAATTTCTCCCTTATCTAAACTTTTGTGAAACTTGGCATATATGACTCCTGTGGACACAATGATATAGGGTTTTGTACTGGAATGGAGTATGAGAAACAGCTTTATAGTCATAAAGTCCTGGATGAGAATCTCAGCTGTTCTCATTTTTGTATGTGTAACTCCTCAATGAACTTCAGTTTTTTTCACTTATAAAGATAAATCTCTAACCTTGTAGCTTGTTTTAATGGTTAATTGATAAGCATACGTAAAGCAGCTAGCAAACTATTTAATACACAGAAGACATTCAACAAAATATTTTCTACCTTCCATTATTGACAGTCCTCAGAGTGCAGACTAGGGTTTGTCAGGCATAATATCTTGTATATATGTGATAGATACTCACAACAGTTTTGACATGAATAAACTTTGATTTCCAAACAGTTAAGTTTCACTTATCTTTTAAGACCTGACTCAAATATTACTTCATCTGTACATTGTCTGATTATCTCAGCTGTAAAAGATTTTTCCTTTGGCCTTGAACTCTCTAAGTATTTTGCTTTTATTTCTATGTCATTTAGCACATTTTTTCTTGATTTGCTGTTACTCCTAGACAGGCTGTATATTCCCTCTAAGATGTAATATCTTCTTATAGGCAGAAAACGTTTTATTATCCTTTGTTTCCCTGGCAGTGCTCAGCACAGGTCTTCTTCAAAAAACATTTGTTAAACAAGTGAAAGTGGTGTCATACTTTGACTGAGAGTAATAACTAACAGAGTTTTCCTCAACCCCAGTTAGGGCCCTTCAGGCCTTTCCATTGCTTGTTAGATGGCTTCCTCTTTTTATAAGTGAATCTTGCCATTAATCCTACATCTGGAAAAAAGTTCTGAATGTTCTTTTCTATGAAGCCAGCCTAGGAAGTCATTTGACCCCCATTCTGTTTGTGCCTACTGCACCTTAGGCATACCTCTATAATAACGTTTACATACAGTATTATAATTCTATTTTTATAAGAGTAGGAACTCCTGGAGAGCAGGATCCATGTCTGCATCACTGTTCCCTAACAGATTTGGAGCACATAGTACATATCCCAAAAATGTTTGCAAAATGAGTGAATGAAGAAAAATCCTCTATATTGCTATGGACATGACATGAACTCATGGAAAAAATCAATGAAGCTAAATGAATTTCCCATATTTGGGAGCTCAATGCAAGATGTTACAAAAGTAACTCACAGTATCTTTTGGTGGGTAAAGTGAAGACTGTGGAAGGGAGAAGAGATACAATCTTTCTATTCTTAGGGTGAAACAATATGCAGGAAGGATGAGAAATATTTGCCAACAAATATTTGTTGGCACAAAAGGCAAAGATTATAGAAAATCATGAATCTAGTACAAGATCAAGTTTTCTAAGAGTTCCATACAACAGATCAGGAATAATTAAGGAAACGTTAGGTCTTCCATACTAAAATGAGTCTAGGAAAAGTAGAGAGAAATAAGTTGTAAGAAATATTAACAGTTTTGCAGCTGGGTGCGGTGGCTCACGCCTGTAATGCCAGCACTTTGGAAGGCCAAGGCAGGTGGATCACTTCAGGTCAGGAGTTCGAGACCAGCATGGCCAACATGGTGAAACCCTGTCTCTACTAAAAATACAAAAATTAGCCAGGCATGGTGGTGTGCACCTGTCAACCCAGCTACTTGGGAGGCTGAGGCAGGAGAATCACTTGAACCTGGGAGGTGGAGGCTACAACGAGCCGAGATGGTGCTACAGTGAGCCCAGATGGTGCCACTGCACTCCAGCCTGGGTGACAGAGCGAAGACTCTATCTCAAAAAGGAAGGAAGGAAGGAAGGAAGGAAGGAAGGAAGGAAGGAAGGAAGGAAGGAAGGAAGGAAGGAAGGAAGGAAGGAAAAAGAAAGAAGGAAGGAAGGAAGGAAGGAAAGGAAGGAAGGAAGGAAGGAAGGAAGGTAGGTTAACAGCTTCAGTATCAAATACAACCCAGCTTTTGAATAACTTTTCTTAAAATTATGCCCCACCTCACGTTCCTCTTCTTGTTCTTTGCGAATCTGCTCCAAACGAAACTGTTCTGCCATCTCTCTCTCGTGAGCTTCCCTCTGTTGATAAAACAGAAAAGGAACAAGCACTTAACACATACTTGTTTACAAAGAAAGAGAGAAATAAGGAAAGAGAAAAAAGAAAAGAGGAAAGAAAGAGTATGTGACATTCAAAGGCTCATTGTCAACATGACTCAGAGGTATATTGTGGTAACGGAAATGTTTCTAGAACAAGAATGGAAATGAAAGCAAAAACAAAGCATAGGTCTCTGATAATGTTAGGTTCCTATTCAAATACCTTTGATAGCTCTGGGTAAAGTGGCATTCAAGATCCTTCAGGACATCCTTTGGTCTTCCTTTCTGACCTTTTCTATCTACCCTGTACCCAAATCTAAAGCTATTTAATCAGCCTCTATCCATCCTCCATGCATTCTGGACCCTTGATGCTAGCTTATACTGTTTCCTCTTCCCTCCTACTGCTCTTTCTCTGTCCAGTTCACATATACCATCTCTTCTTTGAAACATTCCCAGTATAGTCCCACTCCCTGGCTCTCCAAAAAAAACCTGGAAAAAAATTTCCACTGAAACTCCTACTCACTGAACTCTCACAGAACTCAGTGCTTCCCTTAGGACATTTAGGATTCTTGGCTTATGTTACAGCTACTTGTGTTCTTTACTTAATCAACTCTACCACATTGTGAAACTTCCTTTGAGAGCAGAAACTGTGGCCTATTCACTTCTCTCTCCTTCAAAGCTCAACACAGAAGCAGGTGCTTAAGTAGTATTCAATAAATCAATAGTTCCCAACCCTGACTGCACATGAGAATCACCTAAAGAGCTTTCCAAAAATTGCTGGTTTCTATCATAGACCAACTAAGAAACAAATGAGATAGATACTAGGTTCATCTTTGTTCTCATTTTTCATGAAACAAACTTTATTTTGTCAAAATGAACCATGCTTTAATAACCATGGATAGGATTATATTCTTTCTGTTAACTAAATCTAGCTTTCTCTATTGCAAACCCAGTATTTTTAGGGATCAAAGTGATAAAGGTTGGCATTTAAATAATGAACAATTGAGTTCTTTATCCCAGAAGTACTTGACCAAGCCTACCTTTGCTCTGTCAGCCTCAAGTGAAAGGCGATAGGCCTCATCTTGCTCTCTCTTCACATTTTCTCTGGCTTCACGTTCATCCTTAAAGAAAAAGATTCAAATATTTTTTGACATATAACTTTTTTTTGAAAAAAAAGAGAAAAAAAACTAATGGTAATCCCTTTTTTATTCCTATATGAACTTATAATTAAATAAGAGACTTTTAAAGTGTATAGGACATAAATAAGCAAACAAACAATAAGATGAGCAGCATGGTACATAGTGGAAATAAGAATGTTTGAATCCTAACTCTACAAACTGTGTGACCTTGTATAAGTTATTTAACTTCTCCAGGTCTCAGTTTCCTCACTTGCAAAACAGAAATAATATTTGTCTTATAGGGTCACTGTGAGAATTAAGTGCAATAATATACAAACTATCTAGCAAAGGACCTGGCACTTAGTTCATTTTCATTATTAGTTCTCTTCTCCTTTTCTCCTGATTTTTCTGAGATAAACTTGGAGACTGTCAGTATTGGAACTAAGGACTGGGAGGGAGAACAAAGACTAGGAAGTAATCCCTGGGTCAGTGTAGAAAGAGGCCAAAAGCAAAATACTCTGGTTAACCTCATTCCATACCACACCACACCACACCACTAAAGCTCTGGTTACCAATTTAGTATTTCCCCATTACATTCACACTCATGAAGTGTGAATAACAAAAGTTATCTAAGTTGAAAATCTCTTAGAATATTTTTAGCTTCTGAAATGATTATACCATCTGCCCATATTTAAATCACGAATTCATTTAAAATTAAAAGTTAATTCATGAACAGAATTTCCCATTTGTTATATTCAGAAGTATAGCCAATATACATATACTTAGCTTTAATAATAAATACCCACACCTGTCTACACTAGAGTGTAGGTTCCCTTTTTGGTCATTTATTTATTAGGCAGAACCATATAAAGCCACCAATATTTGTGACCTATAAAACTGGAAATTTCATATAGTTAATTTCTCACTTTTTTGTCTCCCCAATATATGCTTACTCAAGGCTGAATATATGCTCAGCATTCTCTTAGGTGAGATAGCTAATCAAGACTGGCCTTATTCCTGAAGCCTAATACATCTTCTAGTTCCAATAATTCAACTAATTCCTAAAAGCTCTGGTATGAATAGGAACATTTCATTGCTTCCTAATCTTTCAAATAAAAATTAGAAAGAATTAGATGTTGCTGGCCTGAAGGTAATTGTTATACTACAAAATATGAAAAATCATGTTAAACCTGATAATGTCTACCCTTTCAGTCATCGATTAAAGGATTAAACTTCTTTTTTTTTTTTTTTTGAGGGGGAGTCTTGCTCTGTCACCCAGGCTGGAGGGCAGTGGTACGATCTCCACTCACTGCACCTTCAGCCTCCTGGGTTCAAGTGATTCTCCTGCCTCAGCCTCCCGAGTAGCTGGGATTACACGCACCCGACATCACGCCCAGCTAATTTTTGTATTTTTAGTAGAGATGGGGTTTCACCATATTAGCCAGGCTGGTCTCGAACTCCTGACCTCAAGTGATCTGCCTGCCTTGGCCTTCCAAAGTGCTAGGATTACAGGCATGAGCCACCACACCTAGCCAAGGATTAAACTCCTAAGAATCCTATGCCTCTGTGGATAAGTCTATCTTTTCAAATTTAGATATCTCTTGAATGTAATCAACCAACTATGAGAGTAATCTTACCTTTCTATATTTTAAATGGGGGAAATGCACAAGATGTTTAAAATTTTAATTTGACCTTACTTTCCTGACTTCATCCTTTCAAATTAAAGTTTCTCACAACATTCTGTACTTTCCCTTTAAAGCACTTACCATAATTGTAATTAATTATCACATAATTATTTATTTAATGCTAAACTACCCCATGACACTGTAAGCTCCACAAAGGCAGGGAACTTGTCTATATTATATATCTCTGTATTCCACATACTGCCTAGTTTTGGGAGGTGTTTAATAAGCATATGTTAAATAAATTATCTTTCCAGGCATAAAATACTTATTGTTTACAGCAACAATTAAAGAAAAAGACATAGCTCATCCACAAAATGGCTGGCCCAATCTGAGCCTGAAATTGACTGGCTGGGCAGGAATGACTTGTTATGCCACTATGTACACGTAAAAAACGGACCTTCTAAAAGCAATCACAGCTGGAAGCCCTATGATCACAAATACAGTTTATAATAAAAGAGGGTAAACAGCTCTGTTGTAAAACAGACTGTAGGAGATATGAAAGGCCATCAAATACAGGGATCTTGGCACCTGTTGTGTGTTCTTTCCCTTACTCACAGCTCTCTCTGACCATCCTGACAGATGGGCTGGCTTGGGCATGTGGCTCAGGATGAATTTTCCCAAATTTATCATGGTCATAGCTTCTTGTATGTTTGGTAGTTGTTGGTGAATGGTTATCATTTCTTCTTATCTGTTCCTCAGATTTTATACTTGCCTCTCCAACTGTCCTCTTCAGAGTCATCTCCAATTTTGAGAGAGAAAACTGCTTATGTGTTTCCCCCATATTATTCTATATTATCAGATTTTTTAGAAAATCCCAGGTATTGTGGTTAACACTTCATGTATAAATTTGTTCTCATAACCTGTAGATGTGCCTCTGGAACTTCTCTTGTATTCTACAAATACTGTCCTTGTAGAGGTTCCCTTTGCTAAATCTAAGAGGACACATCAAAGTAACTAGAAATTTTTACACATCGATTGGGTGGAGGTAGAACAACTGGATTATGAGATTCAGAAACAGGTCTTACGTGTTGCCTAGGCTATGGCTTGGGCTACTTGTCATTCAAACACTCCTTGCCACACCAAAGTGAGAAGCTGGATTGCTCAGAAGTAAGTAATAGCCCCAGTAGGCAGCTTTCTTTGTAACATACTTGTCACTGCTCTCATATTGCGCTGTGCTACACTCATTTGTGTATTTGTCTCACTGGTCCCTACCTGAGCTGTACACTCCCAGGGGTAAAAGACTCTATTTCATATGTCTTCGTATTTCCTATAGCATCTAGCATACTATCTTACATATGACAAGCATCTGAAGTATATATTTATTGGATGAATAAATGGAATTATCAGTGCTCAACAGTTATATACTAGAAATTCAGAAGCCTCTAAGTATTCTTCAGTCTAGTAACTTTTATTTAAATATATTTTCTGTCCTGAGTATTATGATGAGTTGTTAAGAAGTGTTAGAATTATAATTTACTTATTTTTAGTTAAAAAAATTTTTTTTGAGTACATAGTAGGTCTACATATTTATGGGATATGGGAGATATTTTGATAGAGGCATGCAATGGGTATTAATTACTTCATGGAAAGTGGGGTGTCCGTCCCCTCAAGCACTTATCCTTTGTGTTACAAACAATCCAGTTAAAATCTTTGTGTTATTTTTAAATGTACAATGATTTTTACTATAGTCATCCTGTTGTGCTATCAAAGGCCAGTGTTATTCACTCTTTCCATATTTTTTGTACCTATTAACCACTCCACCTTCCCCCACACCCCACTGCCCTCCCTAGCCTCTGGTAATCATCCTTCTACTCTCTATCTCCATGTGTTTAATTGTTTTGATTTTTACATTCTACAAATTAAGTGAGAACATGTGACGTTTGTAGTTCTGTGCCTCACTTATTTCACTTAACATAATGGCCTCCAATTCCATCCATGTTGTTGCAAATCACAGGATCTAATTCTTTTTTGTAGCTGAGTAGTACTCTTGTGTACATGTACCATGTTTTCTTTATCCATTTGCCTATTGATGGACATTTAGGTTGCTTCCAAATCTTGGCTACTGTGAACAATGCTGCAACAAATATGTTAGTACAGATATCTCTTTGATATACTGATTTCCCTCCTTTTGGGTATATACCCAGCAGTGGGATTGCTGGATCATATGGTAGCTCTATTTTTAGTTTTTAAAGGAACCTCTACACTGTTCTCCATGGTGATTGTACTAATTTACATTCCCAATAACAGTGTACAAGGGTTCCCTTTTCTCCACATCCTCTCCAGCATTTGTTATTCCCTGTCTTTGGGATAAAAGCCATTTTAACTGAGGTGAGATGATATCTTACTGTAGTTCTGATCTGTATCAGAATCAGAATTTAAACACAGTCATTCTCACCATAAAGCCTGGTTTTTCCCCACTGTGGCACACTACGTAGTTCAGCATAGTCCTCTATCTCCGAGACAATAGCCATTGAATTTTATTACAATTCACTGAAAATGATGACTATTAAAAATAAAATATTTTATGAGTTGCCAAATGGTTCCCACAGTAAGAATTTAACCAAAAAAAAAGAAATTTAGATGTAATTTATGACACCCTCAGTAGTGTTAAAGATTAGTAATCATCAGTTAACTCCTAAAAGACTAATTCAAAATTCCAAATTATTAAACTGAAGTGGCTATAGACTTTTTTCAAATACTTACCAAATGCATACACACATAGAACACTTATTGGTTTTTCTGAATGCCCAGGTTGGAATGAATACCCTGCTCCTTGCTCTACCAATAGGTCCTTGTCATCAGAGACATGGCCCTGCTATCTATCTCTAGAGATACAGACCAAGATAACCTGAAGTTCTCTCAATATAAATACTTAGAGATAGTAGGTAAAACATAACAAGTATGTTCAAAAGCATTACTAAGCATGTCAGAAAGAAAGAAATAAAGAAAGAGAAGTTTCTAGGTACCAGAAATAAAGAGGAAACTGAAAGTGAGAGATGTAAATGATGAAGTAATTCAGAACCTGACAAGGTAGGTTATCCATCTTGATAATCCAGAAGCCCCACTGTGACCAGAGATCTCATTTTGGACTTAAGCAAGGTGAGGAGGTGTAAAAGTTATCTCTGGGGACCAAGCACAGTGGCTCATGCCTGTAATCCTAGCACCTGGGAGGCCAAGGCAGGTGGATCACCTGAAGTCAGGAGTTTGAGACCAGCCTGACCTACATGGTGAAACATGTCTACTAAATACAAAAAAATCAGCCGGGCATGGTGGCACATGCCCGTAATCCCAGCTCCTTGGGAGGCTGAGGCAGGATAATTGCTTGAACCTGGGAGGAAGAGGTTGCAGTGAGCTGAGATTGCACCATTGTACTCCAGTCTGGGCAACAAGAGTCAAACTCCATCTCAAAAAAAAAAAAAAAGTTATCTCTGGGATAACTTTTGCAGCCTAATGTAAGTGAAGTTGGAGTCTGGGAATGAGGTGTGGGGGTGAGGTGAAGAAAAGTTACTTTAAGAAATAATCATTGAAATTTTTTCAAATTTGATGAAAATGAGAAAGCCACTGATTCAAGAATCTTAACAAACATTAAGCAAAAGAAACATGAAGAAACTACACCAAGGCACATCATAACCAAATTACTTAAAGTTAATAATAAAAAAAAATCTGAAAAGCAGCTGGAGAAAAGAAAAGACATAATATGTACAGGAAACAATGACAGCCGACTTTTCATCAGAAACAGTGCAACTGAGAAGACAATTGGGCAACATCTCTAAAGTACTGAAAGAAATAAAACAAAAAACAAAAACAACCATCAACCCCAGAATTCTATACCCAGTGAAAATATTTTTCAAAACTGAAGGTAAAATACTTTTCAAACATATAAAACCTGAAAAAATTCATCAATAGTATATGTATTACAGTAAAAGTTAAAGGAAGTCTTTCAGGTAAAAGGAAAAGGATACCATAAAGGAATGGCTTTGTGTCTAGACAAGGGAATAAACAAAACTAGAAATGGGAGCTTCATAGGTAAATTAATAGACTTTATTATTCAAAACTCTTTTTTTTTTTTTTTTTTTTTTTTTTGTGACGGAGTCTCACTCTGTCACCCAGGCTGGAGTGCAGTGGTGTGATCTCGGCTCATTGCAACCTCCACCCCCCCAGGTTTAAGCAATTCTCTGCCTCAGTCTCTGGAGTAGCTGGGATTACAGGTGCATGCCACCATGCCCGGCTAATATTTTGTATTTTTAGTAGAGACGGGGTTTCACCATCTTGGCCAGGCTGGTCTTGAACTCCTGGGCTCGTGATCCACCTGCCTCGGCCTCCCAAAGTGCTGGGATTACAGGTGTGTGCCACCGCGCCCGGGCTCAAAACTCTTTAAGAAACAATTGACTGTATCTCAATGCCATTTTTTACAGAAACAGAAAAACCCATCATAAAATGCATACAGAATCTCAAGGGACCCCTAATAATCAAAACAATCTTCAAAAGTAACAAAGTTGAAAGAGTCACTTTTCCTGATTTCAAAACTTACTATAAAGCTACAGTAATTGAAACCGTGGTAGTGGCATAATGATAGACATATAGAAAAATGAAATAGAACAGAAAGCCCAGAAAGAAATCCTCACATATATGTTGGATTGATCTTCAACAAGGGTGGCAAGACCATTCAATGAGGAAAGAACAGTCTCCTCAACAAATGATGTTAGGAAAGCTGGATATCCACATGCAAAAGAATAAAGCTGGACCCTCATCATACCTCATATTAAAAAAAAAGCTTAAAATGAATCAAAGACTCAAATTTAAGAGCTAAAACCATAACATTCTTAGATAAAAACATAGGTGAAAATCTTCATGACCATGGATTAGGCAATGATTTCTTTAGTACGTCATTGAAAGCATAAAAAGAAAAAAACAGAGAAATTACACTTCATCAAAATTAAACCTTTTTCACTCAAGAGAGTGGAAAGATAATCCACAGAATGGAAGAAAATATTTGCACGTGATGTCTGATAAAGGATTACTATCCAGAATATATAATAAACTCCAACAACTAAACAACAAAGAAACTAAACAAGCTAATTAAAAAATGGTCAAAGGCTGGGACAACTGTAATCCCAGCACTTCGGGAGGCCAAGGTGGGTGGATCACCTGAGGTCAGGAGTTCGAGACCAGCCTGACCAATATGGTGAAACCCCATCTCCACTAAAAATACAAAAATTACCTGGGTGTGGGGGCGCATGCCTATAATCCCAGCTACTCAGGAAGCTGAGGCAGAAGAATTGCTTGAACTCGGGAGGCGGAGGTTGCAGTGAACCGAGATCGTGCCACTGCACTCCAGCATGGGCGACAGAGCGAACCTCTGTCTCAAAAAAAAAAAAAAAGAAAAAAGTCAAAGGACTTGAATAGACATTTTCCAGAGAAGATGTATAAATGGCCAGTACAGGCATGTTCATAGTAGCATTATTTACAATAGCCAAAAGGTGGAAATAATCCAACTGTTCAACAGATGAATGGATACACAAAATATGGTATATACCTACAGTGGAATATTATTTAGCTATAAAAAGATTTTAAATTCTTATATCTACTATAACATAGATGGACCTTAAGGACATTGTGCTTCAAATGTGAAAGGATCAACATTGTGTTTCCACTTACATAAGGTACCTAGAATAGGCAAACTCCTAGAGACAGAAAGTAGATTAGAGGTTGCCAGAGTCTGAGGGGAAGGAGAATGGGGAGTTATTGCTTATTAGACTGGCTAGAACTGCCAATTCAATGGTGAATAGAAGTGATATGAACAGATATCCCTCCCTTTTTCCTGATCTTAGCAGGAAAACATTTGATCTTTCCCCAGTAGGTAAGATGTTAGCTGTAGGGTTTTTTTTTTTTTTTTTTTTAAATAGATGCCCTCTTTATCAGGCTAAGGACATTTTACTCGATTCCTATTTTACTGGAAATTCTTATCAGGAATAAATTAGCTTTTGTCTGATGCCGTCTCTGCATCCACTGAGATGATTATATCATAAATTACACTGACTGATTTTCAAATCTGATAAGGCAAGAAAAATTAATAAAAGGCATCTACAATGAAAAGGAAGTAGAACTCTCTTTATCCACAGATAAAATGATTAGAAATGTGGAAAATTCTAAGGATTCTACCAAAAAGCTATTATAACTAGTAAGTGAGTTTAGTAAGGTTGCAGAATATAAAATAAATAACAAGCAACCCCTTCCCCTTCCCTCCCCTTCCTCCCTTCTTTCTTTCTTTCTTTTTTCTAGTCAAGTGACGCAGTGGGAGTGGAGAAAGAACAAAGAAATTTGTTACTGGTTGTGGTCAATTAGCTGTAAACACCACTGCATTTGGACCAGCCTATATTTCTATATACTGGCAACAAATACTCAGAACTTACAGTTTAAAAATATCATTTATAATAGCATAAAATATATGAAATACTTGGGGATAGATTTAACAAAAGATGCAAACAATCTGTATGTCGAACATCATAAAACACTGCTGAGAGAAATTAAAGACATAAATAAATGGAGAGATAAATAAGTCATTCTTGTGGATTAGACAAATCAATATTTTTATGTCAGTTCTCTCCAAATTATCTACAGATTCAACATAATTCCAATCAAAATACCACCAAAAATTTTTTTGGTTAGCTGATTGTAAAATTCATGTGGAAATGCACAGGACCTACAATAGCCAAAAGAATTATGGATAAAAAATAAAATAACTAAATTAGAGGACTTATACTACTTGATTTCAAGATTTATTACAAAGCTGAAGTAATAGTAATTCTGTATGGTACTGTTGTAAAGACAGAAAAAAAATGGAAAAAAAATAAAGTCCAGATATAGACCTATGCATATATGATCAACACATACGTTTGACAAAGGTGCAGAGGCAATGTAGTGGAAAAAGGAAAACCTTTTAAACAAATAGCACTAGAACTACTGGATATCCATCTCTTCCTGACTCTGAAAAAAATAACTTCAATACATACATCACACTATATACAAAATTTAACTGAAGTGGATCATAGACCAAATGTGAAGTCTAAAGCTATAATACTTATAAAGGAAACATAGGAGAAAATAGTGACCTTAGGTTAGGCAAATATGACCCAAAAGCATGATACATAAAAGAAAAAATATTTAAATTGGACTTCATCAAAATTTTAAACTTATTTTCTCCTAAAGACAATTGAAAATGATATTGAGTGTGCCTATGTTAAAGTATCATGTGTACCCCATAAATATGTACAACTATTATGTATCCATAAAAGTAAAAATAAAAAAATTAAAAATCAAAGTTAAAAATTAAATGTGAGGTATGTAGAAGACAAATATTATTACTACAATTATAAGCTGTTCATCTAACAGTAGACTTAAGAGTTATAAAACATTTCTTGACCAGGGAAATGCTATCTAATATTTATTCTAGTGAATTATCGTGATATAGTAAGAAATATTTTTGAATAGTAGCAACAATAAAATCTCTGTATATTATGTTCCCTCAATAAAACTATAATTCTACTACTAAATGCAAAATATTCACTGCAGAGTACATTGAAATAAGTTGGTATTTATGAAAAAGAAAGTCATAGTGACAAAACCATAGACTGAGAGAAAAATCTTTGCAAATCACATTTCAAGTAAAAGACTTGTATCTAAAACACATAAAGAACTTTCAAAATACAAAAATAAAAGGACCCCAATTTTAAAATGGAGAAAAGATTTGCAGACACTTCATCAAAAGACACATAGACAGCAAATAAGCATGTCGAAAAATAAATGCTGTCTCATTAATCGTCAAGAAAATGCAAACTAAAACCACAGTGAGACACTACTACACACCTATTAGAATGTCTCAGTTTAAAAGACTAACCAGGCCAGGCGCAGTGGCTCACGCCTGTAATCTCAGCACTTTGGAAGGCCAAGGCAGGCGGATCACGAGGTCAGGTCAAGACCATCCTGGCTAATATGGTGAAACCCTGTCTCTACTAAAAATACAAAAATTTAGCTGGGCGTGGTGGCAGGCACCTGTAATCCCAGCTACTCGGGAGGCTGAGGCAGGAGAATGGCATGAACCCAAGAGGTGGAGACTGCAGTGAGCCGAGATTGCACCACTGCACTCCAGCCTGGGTGACAGAGCAAGACTCCGTCTCAAAAAAAAAAAAAAAGAAAAGACTAACTATACAAAATGTTGATGAGGATGTGGAGGCACTGGAACTCTCTTATACACTGCTGTTGGGAACGTAAAATGGTAAAACTACTTTGGAAAACACTTCGGCAGTTTGTTAGAAAGTTATGCATCTATCTACTGTATGTATGATCCAGTCATTCCAGTCTTAAGTAAGTAGTTACCCAAGACAAATGACCATATTACCATATGCCTATATAAAATGTGTACACAAATGTTCATAGCAGCTTTATTTGTAATAGCCAAAAACTAGGAAATAATCCAAATATCCATCAACAGGTGAACATTCAAAAAATTGTGAAAAATATAAACACTATAGAAAGCAGCAGTAGTGGCTTTTATTGTACAGAGCAGACAGGTGTGGTAACCTCTGTTGTAATGTAACTATTTATCATCATAAGATTTCAAAAAATAGGCATAATAAGCCCTTTATCAGTGGCTTTCACATCAACTTTAAGCCAATCATAACTGGGTTTGGAGAACTGAGTTCTCTAATAAAGACCAACTCTCAGTTAGAGACTCAAAGGAAGAGTGTGCTTAGAACTGAGTGACTTAGGGTCAGCAACACAAGGCAGACTCTTAAAACCCAAGAAGACAGCAAGGAAATGCAAGGTTACATGAGACTGCTCAGCCTCACTCCTAAAACAGGATATGGAGAGAAGAAACAATTTAGTGAGAACTGAAACTACCCATTCATAGCTTAGCCCGCTTGATTTTATTAGCAAAAATTATGATGGTCACATACAGGGTTGTATCAAAGACTGACAGTCTTTTCACTGGAGACTGGGGGCACATGAGCATTCCGAGTGAATTAGGTAAAAGTACAGTATTGGTTTCATTGACTGTTTGACAGGAACTAAGGTCAGGCAGTTGACTCACAAGTATAAATTGTATAACCATATCATAGTGCTCAGTGGCTGCTGGAGGCTGGACTTGCCGTATATGTCAGCAGCCTGTTTTAAGATCCAGGTTAGCTAATAATAAAGTGTTGGGGTCTGTTGGAATACTGTATTTTAGTATAGCTGAATATTCAAGCTTTCTTAGGTGTATGTGTGCATGATGGGCTACTCAGAAAGAAAAATACAATATATTGTATTTGAGCTATTTTGCTGTGTTTTTAAACTTTTTTTTTCTAATTTAAAGAAACAGGGTCTCACTCTGTCACTCAGGCTGCAGTGCAGTGGCATGACCATAGCTCACTGCAGTTTTAAACTCCTGGGCTCAAGTGATTTTTTTTTCCTGCCTCAGCCTCTGAGGAGCTTGGATTACAGGTGTGCACCACCATGTCAGGCTAATTATTCTAATTATTATATTAAAAATGTTTTTAGAGATGGGGTCTCGCTATGTTGTTCAGGCTGGTCTCAAACTCCTGGCCTCAAGCAGTCCTCCTGCTTTAGCCTCCTGAGTAGCTGGGATTACAGGTATGAGCCACTGCACCTTGCTCTTATTTTTAAAAAGGCAGTTATGCAAAATTTTTAAATATAAAGGTTAAATTATCCTATTAACACTGTTAATAATTGCTAAATGGTAGTTGTGCAATATTGCAAATACAGTAAATGCCACTGAATTGTATACACTACAGTGGTTAACTGTATCTTATGTAAATTCCATTTCCATAAAAAATTGTATAGATATTGTTAATGGGCCAGGTGCAGCAGCTCACACCTGTAATCTCAGCACTTTGGGAGGCAAAGGTAGAATTGCTTGAGGCTAAGAGTTTGAGAACAGCCTAGGCAACACAGCAAGACCCCTGACTCTACCAAAAATTTAAAACAATTAGCTGGGTGTAGTAGTGTGTGTCTGTAGTCCCAGCTATAGGAGCCTGAGGAGACTCACTTGGGCCCAAGAGTTTGAGGCTGCAGTGAGGTATGACTGCACCACTGCATTCCAGCCTGGGCAACAGAGTGATTCCCTGTCTCTTTAAAAAAAAAAAAAAAATTGCTAAAACCAAAACAAAAAAAAAAGTAACATGGTGGTATATCCATGTGGTGGAATACTATTCAGCAAGTAAAAGGAATGAATTATTGATATATGCAACAATGTGGAGAATCTCAAAATAATTACACTGAATGAAAGTAGCCAGACTAATGAGTATATACCATATGGTTTAATTTTTAATAAAATTCTAGAAAACGCAAACAAATCTATGCTGACAGAAAGTTCAGTGGATATGTGGGACTTGGCTTGACAGACAGAGACAGCAAAGAGGGATGACAAAGGTACAAGAGGAAGCCCTTGAGAGTGATAGTTCACTATTTTGATTGTGGTAAGGATTTCATGGGTGTATACATATGTCAAAACTTGTCAAATTATATACTTTACATAGGTGTGGTTTATTGTATATCAATTGTACCTCAATATACATTTAGAAAATAAATGATTAATACTGCAAAAAATTAATAGATGGATGACACAGTAGCTTGGACATAGGTAAAGGGAGAATTAATGAAATGTGAGTAATCTCAAGAAGTTATCTAAATTGCAACACAGAAAGATACAGAGAAATAAAATATGACAGAGAAGTTAAGAGATGTGGAAGATACAGTCAAGAGTATCCAATATGCATCTACTAGGAAGCCTAAAAGAAGAGAATACAGTGGATTAAGCAATACCTAAAGAGATCATGTTTTTGAATTTTCTAGTATAGATGAAAGACAAGTACCCAACATCAATTTCAATGAAACAGTAGCTTGGACATAGGTAAAGGGAGAATTAATGAAATGTGAGTAATCTCAAGAAATTATCTAAATTGCAACACAGAGATACAGAAAAATAAAATATGAAAGAGAAGTTAAGAGACATGGAAGACACAGTCAAGAGTATCTAATATGCATCTACTAGGAAGTCTAGAAGAGAATACAGTGGATGAACCATACCTAAAGAGATCATGTTTTTGAATTTTCTAGTATAGATGAAAGACAAGTACCCAACATCAATTTCAAATGGTAACACCCAGTTTTAAAGAAACTCCTAAACTGAATAAACAAATAAATTGGTTGTCCTCATCATAGTCAAGGACTAGATCACTGAAGCCACCTCACCTATAGAATACCAGCCCTGATTCTTAATGCTGCTGATCCAATGATAAGACCCTGGATGACTAGGTTATAGTAATAGAAATAGTACTTAGAACCTTGTTAACCAAAGTATGGTCCAAGGACAAGCAGTATTGAAATCAATTTGGAGCTTGTCACAAAAGGAGAATCTTGGGCCCCACACTTCAGAATAACTGCATCAGAAATATGAACTTTAATAAGACCTCCAGGTGACTCCTATCATATGCAGATTAAATTTTGAAAAGCACTGCTTGTAAGACTGTAGAAGTCTTCTGAGTGGGGGATCTTACTGATCTTATAGAAAGCAAGAATATTTTGATTAAGGTAATATATCTAACACTGCTGAAGAGTGGTTGGGATGTTATTTTTGCTTTCAGGAAAGACATGAATGGGGGAAGTTAATCCACACTGGGGGAGAAGAATGGTTAAATACCAGAACTGGGACCTAATCCTTTAGCAGCCAGTCAGGAGTTTGGAAGACAAGACCTGGGCTTTTGAACAGACACCTCACAATAGGTTCCCAAATGGACATGGAAATTCCTTACACAGGAACATGTTCACTGAGAGCATACATTCTGAGAAAGGCAATAGAGAGAGACAGCCAAACACCTATTCCTCTCCAAAATGGCAGCCTTGTTATGTGGTATATCCAGCTAAATGGTCTAGAGAATTTTGGGGGTGTGTGTATGTGAGTGTAACAAAGAGATGATATAATGGTCACTGATAAAAGCTGAATACTATGTTCTGTGGATACTTCTCTGGTCAGGATTCCTTCCTGAAAGGAGACAGATAAGACAATAGAAAAATGCTTACTTTCAATCACAGGTTAGTAAACTATGTATGGTCTTTGGGCCAAAACTGATTTGTGGCCTGTTTTTGTAAATAAAACTTTATTGAAACATGGCTATATTCATTCATTTGCATATTGTTTATGGCTGCTTTTGTGCTACAATGACAGAGTTAAGTAGCTGTGACAGAAAGTATATGGTCCCCAAGGCCAAAAATATTTACTATCTAGCCCTTTATAGAAAAACTTTGCTGACCTTTAAAATCAATATAAATGTTGGTTTCAGCCTTCTAAACTTTCAACTTTCACTAAGCAGGGAATAAAATCCTAATGGGATTTAAAGTTTAGAAAATCTAGGGAGAGCTTCAGGAAAAGGAAAGGTCAAATGGAAAGAGTAACTAATCTGTTCATTACAAAAAAATCAGAAGCTATAATTTAGTTCTGACACTAGTGTGAAAGATTTAAAGTCAAAGGTCTCAGAGCAGCCTTTACATGTGCCAATAGTAGAAAGTCTTGAAAAGGATTTTGCACCACAGATAAAAATGATTTGATTAAGCATATGAGGGCAAAGGAATAATGGACAGGTTTCTAGGTATCTAGGACAAGTGGAGGAATAATTTCTAATTATAGACACAAAAAACCCACCTGTCTTAGAGGCTTATATATAGAACTTTACATTCTGAACCACTTGGTATTTCAGCTTTGTTTCAGGTAATGACTCTAATGAACACCTAATCTTAACATAGCTGGCCTTAGATACTTTTATCAGCTTCACTGTCTGCTTTCCCCTTCCACATACTCTACGCTTGACCCAAACAAGCCCTCTCACAATTCTCACAGACTAGACTTTTGGTGACTCTCTGCCTTTGTCCATCCTTTATCCTTGGCCTGGAATACTCTCCACCCCTTCTCCTTCAGGCAAAATCACATTCATCTTTCAGGCCCAACCTAAGTGTCCGCTCTAAGCAATCACAGGTACTCCCTCCTCCCCAAATCCTGGATTGAGTAGCTTCACTTCTGTACTATATTCACACTGTATTATTATAATTATATATTTACATATTTGTCTCTCACTAGACTGTGAGTACTTAGCTGGGACACTTTTATTAACCTCTGAATTTTCAGCGTAAGTTAATGTATGGTTGATGCTTGGTAGTGAATGCTTACTATACATACCCTTCTAATTATTTTACACATTATTATCTTATTTAATCCTCACATATGTTGAGGGACAGATGACAGAAAAGAGGAAAGAAAAGAAGTGACCATATATACAACAAGAGAAAAAAGGAAAAAAAGCTAAGGTACCTGCTGTAGAAACTCATGGATCTCAAAAGTGTCAATAGCCTTTGCGAGGTAAATGTTCTTGCTTTACCTTCTTCTTCCTGCCATTACTGCCATTACCTCTATCTTAAGTTCTGACATTTAAAAGACGGCTGGAAGAAATGATAATAGGGAGGAATGGGAATGGGAATGGGAAAATAGCTCTACCGAGGAAAATTATCCTTTTGTGTGGAGTGTCAGGTTATTCCAGGACTACTACCTTTTGTAACATAATCTACATGCATGACATATTTCTTTTCATACTGGACACAGGGCAGGGCACTTAGTAGGTATTCAACAGATGTGCACTGAATTAAACTGCAAGGAAAACTAACTGACCTCCTGAGTCACTAAAATAGACAAGCAAGCCCCTGCCAAATTTGTAGACACAGTGATGTCAAAAAGAATAAAAGTAAAGTAACTCAGATATTTGATAATTTAAAGTCAAGTTTTCAAAATCTGCCCCCAAAGCTAAATTGATAATTACATTTTCTAAGTTAGTACCTGGCTGGTGTGAGAACAGAGGAAGCAGAGATTTCAGTAATGAAAACATTTTTACGGGGACTAGTTAGGCACTAGGAAGATGTTAAGAATCTGCCAGGTACAGTGGCTCATGCCTGTAATCCCAGTGTTTTTTGGGGGCCAAAGTCGGAGGATTCCTTGAGGCCAGGAGTTCAAGATCAGCCTGGATAACATGGCGAGACCCATAAAAAATAATTTAAAAATTAGCCTGTAGTCCTAGCTACTCAGGAAGCTGAGGTGGGAGGCTGTTTGAGCCCAGGAGTTCGAGGTTACAGTGAGCTACCATCATGTCACTGCCTTCTAGCCTGGGCAATAGTGTGAAACCCTGTCTTAAAAAAGAAAAAAGGTAAGAACTTGTCTCAATTTCTTCTTTAGTGATTTGAGCAGTGAAAGGTTTTTAAAAAATTTTCCCCAGGTTATGGTCTAATCAGGATAGAATTAAAATTCAGATATTTCAGATCTTATTTTTGAAAATTTCTCAGGTCATAGGACATTCTGATAATCCTGCTTACAAAACAAGATATTTACATACTACCACATATTTTCAAAGTGTCAGAATTAGAGATTTCTCCAAAGAAGATATATTAATGGCTAAGGACATAAAAGTAGTTCTACATTAGTCATTAACGAAATGCAAATCAAAACCACAAACAAGATACCACCTTTATACCAGGATGACTTTTGTTTTTTAAAGGGAAAATAAGCACTGGTGAAGATATACAGAAATTGGAACCCTTGTACATTGCTGGCTGGAATGTAAAATGGTGCAGCCTCTCTAGAAGGTTCCTTTTTGGTTCCTCAAAAAGTTAAACATAGAATTACCATATGACCCAACAACTGTACTTCTAGGAATATGCCCCAAAGATCTGAAAACAGGAACTAAAAGAGATTGTTAACACATGAATGTTCACTGCATCATTATTCACAATAGCCAAAATGTGGAAACAATCTGAATGTCCAGCTACAGATGAATACATAAACAAAATGTGGTATATCCATACAATGGAATATTATTTAACCACAAAAAGAATGAATTACTGATACATGCTACAACATGGATGAAGCTTGAAGACATTAAGTGCAAGAAGTCAGACAAAAAAGTCATATATTGTATGATTCCATTTATAAGAAATATCTAGAACATGCAAATCCCTCAAGACAGAAAGAAAATGAGTGTTGTCAGGGGCTATGTGTAAGTGTGTGGGGATGGAGAGTGACTGCCTAATGGGTAGGGGGGTGATAAAAATGTTTTGGAACTAGACAGATGTGACAGCTGTACAATATTGTGAATGTACAAAATACCCCTGAATTGTATACTTTTTGATTTTATTTATTTGAGATGGAATCTCATTCTGTCACCCAGGCTGGAGTGCAATGGCACAATCTCAGCTCACTGCAACCTCCATCTCTCAGGTTCAAGTGATTCTCTTGCCTCAGCTCCTGAGTAGCAGGGATTATAGGCATGAGCCACCACACCCTGCTAATTTTTTTTGCATTTTTAGTAGAGACGGGGTTTCACCATGTTGGCCAAGCTGGTCTCGAACTCCTGACCTCAGGTGATCCACCCACCTCGGCCTCCCAAAGTGCTGGGATTACAGGCGTGAGCCACTGTGCCTGGCCCAAATTGTATACTTTAAAATGGCTAATTTTCTGTTATGTGAATTTCACCTAAAAAAATTATCAAAATTATAGAGGGAGGCCATACAAGCTGCTGTCTTGATGGCTACCAAGCCAATGGCTAAACAACAAAATGTGGTATTATCCATACAATGGAATATTATTCAACCATAAAAAGAATGAAGTGCTGATACTTTATGGCTAAACAACAAAGCTGTCTGTAGTGAAAAAGAGAGAGAGAAAAATATTTTAATCTTTCCACATCTAAAGTATAAATGATGAGGGCAATGCTTAAAAAAATGTTAAAATTGGCACTCAAAAGAAGTGCAGGCCAGGCACAGCATCTCATGTCTGTAATCCCAGCACTTTGGGAGGTTGAGGCAGGAGGACTGTTTGAGTCCAGGAGTTCCAGAACAGCCTAGGCAACACAGTGAGACCCTATCTCTACAAAAAATTTAAAAATTAGCTGGGTGTGGTGGCACACACTTGTGGTCCCAGCTACTTGGGTGGCTGAGGTGGGAGGATTGTTTGAGCCTGGGAAGTTGAGGCTGCAGTGAGCTGTGACTGTACCACTGCATTCTAGCTTGGGCAATGGAGTGAGAATGTCAATAAATAAATAAATATCAAAAAAGCAAAAGAAGTGCCTGGTAATATGGGCTTCCTGGAGTACTAGGACCAGGACATTCATCTTCCAGCCAAATGACTTGGATTCCAGTCCTCCTTTCATCTTGGTGGCCGAACAGTACAGGGAAAAGGTCATGGGCTTTCAAATACAGACAGCCTTGCTTTGAATTCTAGGTCTGCCACTTAATTTCTGTGCCCTTGGGCAAGTTCCTTGACCGCTTCCAACACTGATCAATTTTATCTCTAAATTAAAAAAAAAATGGCCAGGCACAGTGGCTCATGCCTGTAATCCCAGCACTTTGGGAGGACGAGTTGGGCGGATTGCCTGAGCTCAGGAGTTCACAACCAGCCTGGGCAACATGGTGAAACCCTGTCTCTACTAAAATACAAAAAAATTAGCCGGGTGTGGCGGTGTGCACCTGTAGTCCCAGCTGCTCAGGAGGCTGAGGCAGAATTGCTTGAACCTGGGAGGCGGGGGTTGCAGTGAGCCGAGATGGCACCACTGCACTCTAGCCTGGGTGACAGAACGAGACTCTGTCTCAAAAAAAAAAAAAAAAAAATTTAAATTTAAAACTCCAGTAACTAGATTAACAGAAGGATGAAATGAAATCAATATATCACATAGCATCTGGGACTATGGCATGTAATTGATGACTATTAACCTAATAATAATCCCAATAATATTAATCTTCATCCTTTCAATAACTAGATGTGTGACTTTAGGGAAAATAGCTGAATTTCCCCTAAGGACTGTTTAGGGAGGACCTGGGGCAAATCAGCTGTCACTAAATAGCATCATTTTTCTATAGGTAAAATGGAAATGGTAGAGGGGGGGAAGCAAGGGATGATTCATGAATAATTACATGAACATGAGCCTCAGGTCTCTGAAGCATCCTTCCATTAGTCCCTAACCGACTGTTACACCCCACCACTCAAGTCAGTCCCTATGTGTCAGGGCTCTGATAAGTGTCCCAGGGCCAAAAATAAGAACATTAGAGGTCTTAACCACGGATTATGCACCAGATGGAATTCAGAAGAAAATACTTAAACTGTAAACACATTTCAAAAGTCTGACAACATTCTTATTTTTCTCACAATGATTACTTTGATTTCTGAAATACCAAATTTCAAAAAGGTTTCTCTTTTTTTTAAGGACATACATAAATGAGTAATTTTAATATACTAGTCAGAATAGAGATTACATGTAGAGGAAAAAGATATTTGAGAGGGTTACTAAAGCAGTTTCCAAAGTATTGTTATTAGTCTATTTTTTAACTCAGTGTCAAGTACATAGGTGTTTACTTTATTTTAAACTCTGCCTATGTATTATATACATTCTTTTATATGGAAGACATATTTTATCTATTAAAAAGTCCCCAAATTCTAGAAAGTTAATTTCTTGTCTTCCTAGATTATACATTGAGTAATAAGCTCATCAAATGGGAAAAATTATGTAAGGCTCTCCAAATGCATTTAAACACAGCAAAAGCAGTAACAGCCATGGTAGTAGTCATCTCTTCACCCTAATTAGTGATGGCAGTTGAGGCAGATTAGTAAAGTGAGCCAGGAGACTAGTGACCCAAGTGTCATCTTTTTTAAATTACTTTTAATTATTTTTATACTTTAAGTTCTGAGATTTTATTATTATACTTTAAGATCTGTGTAGAACGTGCAGGTTTGTAACATAGGTATACACATGCCATTGTGGGTTGCTGCACCCATCAACCCGTCATCTACATTAGGTATTTCTCCTAATGCTATCCCTCCCCTAACCCCCCACCCAACCCAACAGGCCCCGGTGTGTGATATTCCCCTCCCTGTGTCCATGTGTTCTCATTGTTCAACTCCCACTTATGAGTGAGAACATGTGGTGTTTGGTTTTCTGTTCCTCTGTTAGTTTGCTGAGAATGATGGCTTCCAGCTTCATCCATGCCCCTGAAAAGGACACGAACTCATCCTTTTTTATGGCTGCATAATATCCCGTGGTGTATATGTGCCATATTTTCTTTATCCAGTCTATTACTGATGGGCATTTGGGTTGGTTCCAAGTCTTGGCTACTGTGGACAGTGCTGCAATAAACATATGTGTGCATGTGTCTTTATAGAATGATTTATAATCCTTTGGGTATATACCCAGTAATGAGACTGCTGGGTCAAATGGTATTTCTGGTTCTAGATCCTTGAGGAATCGCCACACTGTCTTCCACAATGGTTGAACTAATTTACACTCCCACCAACAGTGTAAAAGTGTTCCTATTTCTCCACATCCTCTGTAGTATCTATTGTTCCCTGACTTTTTAATGATCGCCATTCTAACTGGCGTGAGATGGTATCTCACTGTGGTGTTGATTTGCATTTCTCTAATGACCAGTGATGACGAGCTTTTTTTCATGTTTGTTGGCCACATAAAAGTCTTCTTTTGAGAAGTGTCTGTTCATATCCCTCACCTACTTTTTGATGGGGCTGTTTTTTTCTTGTTAACTTGTTTAAGTTCTTTGTAGATTCTGGTATTAGCCCTTTGTCAGATGGACAGATTGCAAAAATTTTCTCCCATTCTGTAGGTTGCCTGTTCATTCTGATGATAGGTTCTTTTGCTGTGCAAGAAGCTCTTCAGTTTAATTAGATCCCATTTGTCAGTTTTGGCTTTTGTTGCCATTGCTTTTGGTGTTTTAGTTATGAAGTCTTTGCCCATGCCTATGTCCTGAATGGTATTGCCTAGGTTTTCTTCTAGGGTTTTTATGGTTTTAAGTCTTACATTTAAGTCTTTAATCCACCTTGAGTTAATTTTTGTATAAGGTGGAAGGAAGGGGTCCAGTTTCAGTTTTCTGCATATGGCTAGCCAGTTTTCCCAACACTATTTATTAAGAATCCTTTCCCCTTGCTTGTTTTTGTCAGGTTTGTCAAAGATTAGATGGTTGTACATGTGTGGTGTTATTTCTGAGGCCACTGTTCTGTTCCATTGGTCTATATATCTGTTTTCGTACCAGTATCATGCTGTTTTGGTTACTGTAGCCTTGTAGTATAGTTTGAAGTTCAGGTAGTATAATGCCTCCAGCTCTGTTCTTTTTGCTTAGGATTGTCTTGGCTATAACGGCTCTTTTTTGGTTCCATATGATACTTAAAGTAGTTTTTTCTAATTCTGTGAAGAAAGTCAATGGTAGCTAGATGGGGATAGCATTGAATCTATAAATTACTTTGGGCAGTATGGCCATTTTCATGATATTGATTCTTTGTATTCATGAGCAAGGTTTCTCTTTTTATTTTCACTGTCTATCTATTGATTTGGTAAATCTGCTCTGTTGGTGTCCATAAGTGCTTAGTCTGCCTTTAGGTAATCACACTCTAAGTGCAGAAAGTGGGGACAGATAGAGGAGGAAGGTACTTTTTTTGTATGAGGGCCCAGAGCAAGCCTCTAGGTTTGCTCTACATTAGGGTAGTCCAGACTGTGAGGATCAAATGGAAAACCAGATGGTGGGACTCTGCTCTGAAATGTACTAAGCGTTTCCAGGCTGGAAGGAAAAATCAGCAATGACTTAGAAGGCCTCATCTATGTGATAAAAACGAATTCTCACTGGCTAGGCATGGTGGTTCACGCCTGTAATCCCAGCACTTTGGGAGGCCAAGGCGGGCAGATTGCTTGAGCCCAGGAGTTCAAGACCAGCCTGGACAAGATGGAGAAACCCTGTCTCTACCAGAAAAAAATACAAAAATTAACCGGGCATGGTGGTGCATGCCTGCAATCCCAGCGATCAATACTTGAGAGGCTAAGGCAGGAGAATTGTTTGAGCCTGGGAGGCGGAGGTTGCAGTGAGATGAGATCGCGCCATTGCACTCCAGTCTGGGTGACCAGAGTGAGACTCTGTCTCAAAAAAAAAGAATTCCCTAGCCCTAGGCCTAACTTATCATTGTGGTTCCATTCTGCAAAAAGTTCTCATTTGGTTTCCATTCTGCAAAAAGTTCTCATTTCCTTGTTTATCTCACCAAATCTACCATTAACTAAGTAAGTATTTGCAAAGGAAAATGTACTAAGTACTAATGAATATCCTCCTACCTATATTTTTACCTAAGACTTTAAATCCTTTAAAGTCTTATATTTCAAAGCTTACAAAGCACTTTTACATGTGATACTCACAACAATTAGGCTGGCCAGGAAGGGACTTTTATCCCTATTCAGAGATGAGGAAACTGAGACTCAGAAAGTATAAGTGATTTTCCCAGAGTCACATAGCTTGTTAGAATGCAGACCTCCTGATACCTAATATACAGCTCTTTCTGTTATTTAATTTATCTTCAACCTACTTGCTTATTGTATTTCTCCATCTCTACATTTTCTTCCTTCCAAACAGTGCAAATACAATCCTTGAATTAGGGTAGCAGACTGTTATGGAATGATTTTCCTGGGTGTGTAAGGAATAATCTGTTTCAACTTGCTGAATGAATTGTATGGGAAAAACAAATATGGGTTTAGTTCATTTAATTCTCAATGGATTCTCCTTAGAGAAGAGCAAGATGCTAAGGAATGATATTTACCTCCAGCCTTATATTATTCTGCAGAGTTGTCACCATTTATTTATATGTCTATTTCTCTTTTCAGACCTTAAGCAAACTGAAGAGACTTTGCCATATTTATCTCTTTATTCTGACCCCCAAGCAGTGCTTGGTGTTTAGCAGATTTTTAAAAAATGAACACCAAATGAGCATTTGGTTCCACATACATCTGCATTATAAGTTCATATCTGCTAAATGGATTTGTCTGTAAAATCATTATCTGCTGGTGCTCAAAAACAGTGAAATAAGGATTATGGCAAATCTGACATGACACTCTTTCAGGTTACTACTTATTATATCAAAGATTGAGCCTTTAATATAATGTTAGACTACCTGGTTATTTTTGTAAACTCCAGTAATCAACAGTTTTAAACAGAGAAATTTCAAAATAGTTTGTGTAGGACTATAAAAACAGAGATGAATTCACAAGTAGCAAGTAACTTCCAAGTCCTAACTGAGATTGTCTTGCTTTGCTAGAATGTAAGTCTCTGGAATTTCTGATGGAGATGTTTAGAAAAGATTCTTTTTCATCTGGATAGAAGTGGTATGTGGGAGTCAGCTAAAAAGCTGGATTTAGGACTGGCTTACTAATTTCTTTAGTGACAGAATTTCAAACTATGGATTGCCATCTCAGTGTCTGCTTTAGATGAAACTGGCTAACTAGTGAGAGTTTATGTTAAGGCTAAACCAATCCAGAGACAATGTACACATCTGCCTGGTAACCTAGGATGGAGCCTGTACATTTTTCAAGAACGATGCCTCAGTTTAGATCCGGTCATCACTAACTCACAGATTATGGCATTAACCTGTTAATCAAGTCTCCTAACTTCCAGTTTTTCCCCATACAATTTGTTCATCCACTTACACATTTATAAAATATTTACTGCACACCTACAAGATGTAGGCCCTGTGTTAGAAACTGGAGATAAGATGAGTAAGACAGTTTCCTTCTCTCATTAGTTGTATGAGATACATATATAAGCTTAGAAAGGAAGTCAATATATAGGAGGGTCTATTATGGTTTAGTCATTTTACATATGCTCTTTCTTTTCATTCCCACAATACCACAATGGGGTATTACTTCTACTTGACAGATGGGGAAACTGAGACTTGAATTGGCTATGTAACTTGCCAATGGTGTATATCTCATAAGGAACTGAATCAGGTTTTGTATGTATTCTAAAGCCTATGTTCTTTCCACTAAACCAGTGGTTCTTAAATTTTAAGATACATAGAAATCACTTGTTATACAGGAAATTTGTGAAAACACAGACTCTCTGGCCCACCTGCAGAGATTCTGATTCAGTAGGTCTAGCTTGGAAGCCAAAGGTATGCTCAAAGACCATAGTTTGAAAAGCACGGTAGTTCAGACAGCAAACAAAATAACAGAAATTATAACAAAATGGTATTATCATAAAGATAGGAACAAAGTGAGTAAGCAAATGTCATACCTATCAAATTAGTTTCCTAAATTGCAAATCTAATCTTGCTAATTTCCTGCTTAAGAGAAGCGATGAATACTTACTGCCCACAGTTTAAGGTTCAAGCTTTATAGCAGAACATAGACATACCTTCAAAAAAATGTGCCCTAATGCACATTTTCAGCCTTCTCCCTCCTCACTTCTGTCTATAAACAACCCCTTCTTGCCTTATTGAATTACTTCTTTCCCACATATCCCAAGCCATTTGACACTTCCAAGCTGTATCACATACCCAAATTTTTATGTTCTTCTTTCTTAATCCAAATGATTCTTCCTACTCATTCTTCCAAACTTAGTTTATATTATTAGTATTACTGCAGATAATATTTCCTGATTATTTACTAGATGTCAGGCACCAGTCTAAGCACTTTACATGTATCAACTGATTTAATCTTCACAACAATCTTATCAAGTGGCTACTAACTGAAGTACGTGAGGCACAGAAAGATTAAGTGATTTTTCTCAAGATTATACAGCTGCTAGGTGGAAGAGCTAGGATTTGAATTCAGGCAATATAGCACTGCAAACTCTTAACCACCAACTTACAGTTATCTCTCATGAGTCATGGACTCTTCCATTTACCCAGGGCCTAATTCAAACCCTATCTCTCTTTAGATTCACCTAGCCTATCCTCATCTCTTATTCTTCTGAACTTCCTTCCATTCCACTTGTTCGTGGACTATATCCCTCCGTTTTGAACCAATCTGGTCTCTAACAGCTTCAGGTACTGAGTTTTCATTTTTAGAGATAAGTGGCAAGTACCCTAAAGGTAGAAACCATATTACCCTGTATACCTTGGCTTGGACTTGTCACATGGCAGACACTGAATGAATTTTTCTTGGACCGAAATACCAAGCACGCATTTTACCAACTAAACTATATTCAGTGGTTAAAGAGATAGCACATGAATGGGTAGAGTCCCTCCAAAGTGAAGAGGGAGTGAGTAGGCAGGTATATGTTAGACAGCTCCTTTCTTGACAAAAGACTAAGAAGCAAATGCAAAATGGCTCTCAAGCATATGTAGGTTTGTTCTCCATGGTTGGCTGGTCCTGACTTTCAAAGTGAAATCCTGTAGTTCAATCTTCCAGTAAACAGTAATTAGATATCTACAGCTATACATTCAAATTTATCTTTGGATTAAAAAGCTGCATAGAAGGTTTCACTCCCTTTCCAGATAAGAGATTTTCACAAACACTTTGGATTGGTTGCAAAGTTGAATCTATCTACTGCTTTGCAGCATGAATAAACTAGTTCAGGATTACAAAGTGTATGTTCTTTGTCTCAGTTACACCTGGAATATTTGCAGTGAACAGACTCCATAGGTTGTATTCTTTGTATTTACATATCATTATTCTAGTATATCTTTTCCTCAGGGTAAATATTTTACAACTACAAAAATGGTATAATCAAATACATTCATGTGCATGTAAGAGATTTATGAAAAAGAGAATTTAAGGCAGTATTTTTCTAATAAAAGTGCATGTACAAATTTTTTAAAAGAAAAATGCTATTTAAAAACAAAATGCTAGAATTCAAAATCATTTGCAAATCTTTTTCCCCAGCCCCTGCCCTTACATACTGGATACCCCCATTATAAGATAACTATTTAATTTGAATTAAGATAAAATAACACTAAAAGGAGAAAAAGTAACAACACAAAAGGCCTGACTCTGTAAGTGATCTTGGGCAAATAACTCATATAGGTCTCAGTTTCCTAAACTGTAGAATAATGAAGTAAGATTAAGTAAATTCTAAAGTTCCTTTCAGATAAGCCTAGATTAAAAATAACAGCAATAATAGATACTTTTATTTACATAGTGCTTATTACATACTAGGTACCAGTGCATGTTAATAGCAGGTAGGTACTATTATTATCCCCATTTTATTTAAGAGGAAATTGGAAACTGGCAATAGGTCAGAGGCCCAGGAATGTATTTTAAACAAGCTCCCCAGGTGATTGTGATACTAGTAGTCACTGTACTATATTTTGAGAACTCCCACAC
Organism: Homo sapiens; assembly: GCF_000001405.40. Taxonomy (NCBI): domain Eukaryota; kingdom Metazoa; phylum Chordata; class Mammalia; order Primates; family Hominidae; genus Homo; species Homo sapiens. Next base: position 50,517,657 of record NC_000001.11, read on the forward strand.
CAATGGCTGCAGTCTATATTAGGAAAGATTGTGCAATCCCAACTGTTGTCTGTCAAATAAGATATTTTTCCAATTAGCATATGACTTGGGAAAGTCATTAAATGCTCTGTGTTACAGTTTCCTTTTCTATAAAATGGGTATAATAAAACCTGCCTTACAGATTTTGCAAATGGCCTAGTCTTATGCCTATAATGGTCACCATTATCAAAGGCATCCAAAAAGTTATTAAAACAAATGAAAGAACAATAAAATTTTGTTAAAACCCATTTTAAAGTCCATTAAATAAACTTACTTTTCCTTTTTAATTTTATTTCCAAATGAACATACAGTAAAATGGATTATTTTTAATGTACAGTTCTATGAATTCTAACGTATGTATAGATTCATGTAACCACCACCACAATCAGGATACGAAACAGTTTCATCATACAAAAAATATCCCTTGTGGTATCCCTTGCAGTCCACGCTTTCCTGAATACTCTCTAGCAGCCGCTGACCAGTTCTCTGTCCCTACACTTTTACCTTTTCAAAAACATCATATAATAGAACTGTACAGTGTATAACTTTTAGAGACTGATATATTTTACAAAGCATAATGCCTTTGTGATACATTCAAGCTGCTGTATGTATCAAAAGTTTGCTCCTTTTTATTTCTGAGCAGTATGCTTATTCGTTTAACCCACCAAAGGTCAATAAAGGATACTAAAGGACATTTGGGTTGTTTTTAGTTTTGGCAATTATGAACACAGCTTCAGCTTCTATAAACACTCATGCACAAGTTTCTTTCTTTTTTTTTTTTTTTAAGACTGAGTCTCACTCTGTTGCCCAGGCTGGAGTGCAGTGGTGCCATCTCGGCTCACTGCAAGCTCCGCCTCCCGGGTTCACGCCATTCTCCTGCCTCAGCCTCCTGAGTAGCTGGGACTACAGGTGCCTCCCACCACGTCTGGCTAATTTTTTGTATTTTTAGTAGAGACGGAGTTTCACCGTGTTAGCCAGGATGGTCTCAATCTCCTGACCTTGTGATCTGCCCACCTCGGCCTCCCACAGTGCTGGGATTACAGGCATGAGCCACTGTGCCCAGCCACAAGTTTTTGTGTGAATCTAAGTTTTCATTTTTCTAGAATAATACCGAGCAGTAGGTTGCTGTATCATAAGTTAAATCTATGTTTAACTTTCTGAGAAACTGCCATGAAACTGTTTATCAGAGTGGCTGAACCACTTTGTATTCTTGACGGCAGTGAATAATAGCTTTGGTTGTTCTCCATCCATTGAAATTCCCAAAGCTGTGCAAAGCTGTGATGTGTATTTTAGCATACAAGCAGTGAATTTCTTCAGTGAAACAACAGTGGGCAGTTGATAATTCCAAAAGCAAATCTATTAAAATAGTTTTCACGGCCAGGCACGGTGGCTCACGCCTGCAATTCTAGCACTTTGGGAGGCCGAGGTGCGAGAATCACGAGGTCAGGTGTTTGAGACCAGCCTGGCCAGCATGGTGAAACCCTGTCTCTACTAAAAATACAAAAATTAGCCAGGTGTAGTGGTGGGCACCTGAAATCCCAGCTACTTGGGGGGCTGAGGCAGGAGAATCGCTTGAACCAGGAGGCGGAGGTTGCAGTGAGTCGAGACCACGCCACTGCACTCCAGCCTGGGTGACAGAGCGAGACTGTCTCGAAAGAAAGAAAGGAAGGAATGAAGGAAGGAAGGAAGGAAGGAAGGAGGGAGGGAGGGAGGGAGGGAGGGAAGGAGGGAGGGAGGGAGAGAAGGAAGGAAGGAAGGAAGGAAGGAGGAGGGAAGGAGGGAGGGAAGGAAGGAAGGAAGGAAGGAAAGAAAGAAAATAGTTTTTACTAGTCTGCTACAATTTTTGATAGGGGCGTTTTGCCTATATATGTCCAGGCATAAAACCAAAAACCTCTAACACATTTTGGTGTGGTTTATGCTAAAAATACTCTGCAAAGATGAGTATAATAGGAAATGAGAAGTATGTATGGCTATTGTTAAAGTGAAATATCTAATCTGAAATTAGAATCTTTCTGCCTAACCAAGTATCCCTAACTTAATTATGATGTGTGTTATTGGCTGATAGTGTACTCCTCCAATCTAACCATCAATTGGAAAAGTACCCTTCTTTCTTCTAGAAGATACTTCTCCACAAGTCTACCTGCCACAATGCTGCTAATTTGTTGTCTCAGCTTTAAAAAATTTGCCCTGGTGAGGCCTAACTCTGCTAGGCAGCTCTAACACCCTACATGTATCTCCATCACGGAATTTATGTCATAATACATGCAATCCTTTGTTTGCATGTCACTGATCATCTAAAGGAATGCATCATCCATATATCTCCTGGTGTTGAGCACAATGCGGATATATAGCAAGTCCCTAAAAAATGTGTAGATTTAATGGTCAAAACAAATTAATGGTAGTTTACCTACTAAATGTCTACATATCATCCTTTAAGACTCAAATGTTTACTCCTTAAGAAGTCTTGTTTGTGTCATTTCCGTATCATACTTATTGCCATTGCTGTTTTTCATACCATATTGCAAGTACCTGTTTCCTGGGATGATAGGTAATTGGAAAGAATAACCAGGGTCAAGGCAAATCTGTAACTGGAAGAAAAATGCCAGATAATTCTCAGTATCCCCCATGAGAGGCATGAAAATCAGGATAAAGTAATTTGGAGAGGTAAAAGTGACATGTCAAAAATACTAATGGAAGGCAACTGAGTATCCTTCTCTGTATTTTTTCTACACAAATTGTCTACGATCTGCAAACTGGACCAACATGAATTCAACTTCTTTACACTATTTCTTTGCTCATGTTTTCCCAATCTTGCAATCATCTCTCCTTTTACCTCTGCACATGCAAACTGTACTGTACTTTCCAGAACCAGATCAAATCTTACCTCTTAGGCCATGCACAGGGGCTCGCTCCTGTAATCCCAGCACTTTGGGAGGCTGAGGCAGGTGGATCACTTGAGTCCAGGAGTTCAAGACTAGCCTGGGCAACATGATGAAACCCCAACTCTACTAAAAATACAAAAAATTAGCTAGGTGTGGTGGTGCACGCCTGTAGTCCCAGCAACTGGGAGGGAGGCAGGAGGATTGCTTCAGCCTGGGAGGTCGAGGCTGCAGTGAGCCCTGACTGTGCCACTGCACTCCAGCATGAGCAACAGAGTGACACCCTGTCTCAAAAAACCAAAAAACTTTAGCTCTTTATTAAAGTCCTTTCTGACTATAAAGATTGTTCCTTCTGAATTCTTCTAGATCATATAACAAATCTTTGCTAGGGATACTTTTTGTAAGGATATGCTTTGGTTCTCCAACTTTAGATGACAAATTCCTTAAAGAACAGGACTGGCACTCATACTGTTTTTTATATATTAATTCATTATTTTTAATTGACAAAAATTGTATATATCATGTATAATCTGATGTTCTGAACTATATATACATTGTAGAATGGCTATATTGAGCTAAGTAACACATGCATAACCTCACATACTTATTGCTTTTTATGGTGAGAACTCACACTATTTTTTTAATGTCCCCAGAAACAACCAGTAGTAGTCCCTCAGTTTAGTAGTAAACAAGGTAAAGGTACAATGCACATGAAAGTGTACTTTCAGCTCCCAAATTCTCGCAAACATGGCCATATAAGGCCCCATGGGAAATAAAAATTCATGAGGAATATGACTGTCTCCAAACATAGGAATTCAAGTTAGTGTTATATTTAAGGCAAGAACAGTTTCTTCCAATTCTTTTTAAAAGAATCTGTATAAGAAGAAAAAATGTTTCTAGGTGCCTGTCAGGTTTAAGACATTGGGAAGGTCTCAATAGCCTCTTGAGAAGGCTTTAGAAGGTTTCAATTTTTATTTGGAAAATACTAAGATGGCTACTTTTTAAATGTTACATAAAAGAAAATACAACTAGATATATTACCCCCAAAGTCAGCTAATATTTCATAACTAGAAAATTAAACATACTTTCTTAGGCCTTGCCATTACTGAAAACAAAAAGTGGACAGGTTGGGCCAGCTATTTAACAATGAATGCTTTTACAGTAATAAATGGTGACAGCCCAAATCAAAAAAGAATGCATTACTGAGATATCATCAATTGTGTTCTGTCATTACATGGCAACTCCACCCAGTCTAAGCTTGTCAAAAAGTGTTACTGTAATCCACGAAGAAGTCTTCACCTCAGGCAAAAGGGAAAAATGTGGAGGGCTGGCTCTGAACAGGTGTGCTGAATTGTAACGCCAATGTTGAGTCACAAATCTCTTTACATCAGTTTCATATATGACAATTATTAACTTCTACTGTGAGGTGTCAGACATGGATAAACTGATCTATCAGCAGGCACTTTAAGAACAACAAATGTAAACAGGGACGGTATGGATATATCTTTTTAAAAGTGAGCATTATTCCATGCACAAAAGTAGAAGTACGCAATTAAGAGAAACTTTCTTATTCTAATCTAGTGAATATAATATTTGCGAATATGGCAATGTCTCATCTGCTCTTCAGATCATCCCACTCAGATCCTACCTAATCTTGGTAAGAGCACTGATTCAGTTTATCCCATAAATCTTTAATATAATTGTACCTCAGTTTTACAAGGGATCATGAGGTATCAAAAGCCTGTAAGTGTGTATTCTGGCCTTTACACAGTTGTATTACCTTGGGCAAATTGCTTAACCTCTATAAGCCTCAGTTTCCTCTCTCCTCAGTAAATGGGGGCAATTACTATCTCTTAAGATTATCATAAAAACTAGAAGAGATGATTTAAAGGAAGTATCTAACAAAGTGCTTGGCCCTAGCAATTCACAGCACAAGCTTAGTCTCTTCTTTAAGATACTTCACCTGACTCCTTACTTCCCTACAAAATAAAAGTTTGGAATTTAATACAGAGTAACAAACTGCTCAGGATTAAAGTTCATGAAGGCAGAGCCCAAATCCTTTCCACTCTATGTCAGTTCCCAGTAGTACCCCGTAAGTACTGAGCCCAAGAATCAATAACTTTTCCAATTTCCAGCCCATAGTAACCTGTCGCTTCTCTGCACTCAAGAATTGAAAACTATATTATTTGTGCTCTTTATTATTATTGTAAAATATACATAACATACAATATAGTATTTTAAGTATACAATTTAGTGGCATTAAGTACAATCATAATGTTGTGAAACTATCACCACCATCTATTTCCTAACATTCTCATTACTCAAAAAGAAACTCTGTACCCTTTAAGCAATAACTTCCCAATTTACCCTACATCTTTAGTTCCTGGCAAACTCAAATCTACTTTCTGTCCCCATAAATTTGCCTATTTGATTGTTTTCAAAAATTTGCCTATTGATGAATCATACATTTGTCCTTCTGTGTCTAGCTTATTTTACTTAGCATATTTTCAAGATTCATTTATGTTGCAACATTTATCAGTACTTCAATCCTTTATTAAGGCTAAATAATATTCCATTGTATGGATATACCATATTTTTATCCATTAATCTGTTGATAGATATTTGGATTATTTCCACTTTTTGGCTATTATGAATAATGATGCAATGAACTTTCAGGCACAAATACCTATTTGAGTCCCTGTTTTCAGTTCTTTTGGGTATATGGCCAGGAGTGGAATACCTGGTTCAAATGGTTACTCTATATTTAACTTTTTGAGTAGTCAACAAACTGTTTTCCATAGCAGCTGCCATTTTACATCCCAATCAGCAATGTACAAGGGTTCTAAATTTGTGTCTACATCCTCATAAATTCTTATGTTCCATTTTTAAAATTATAGCCATCCTTCTAGGTATGAAGTGGCATCTTATTTGTGGCTTAGATTTGTATTTCCCCAAAGACTACTGACATTGAGCATCTTTCCATGAGCTTGTTGGTCATCTGTATATCTTTGAAGAAATGTCTATTCAAGTCTTTTGCCGATTTTTTAATTGAATTGTTTAATTTTCTGTTGTCGTGTTGTAGGAGTTAATATATTTAATATATTCTGGATATTAAACCCTTATCAGATATATGATTTGCAAATATTTTCTTCCATTCTGTGGGTTATCTCATTCTTTTTTATGGATGTATAGTACTCCATGGTGTATATATACCACATTTTCTTTATCTAGTCTCCCATTGATGGGCATTTAGGTTGATTCCATGTCTTTGCTATTGTGAACAGTGTTGCAATGAACATAGACATGCAAGTGTCTTTATAACAGAACAATTTATATTCCTTTGGGTAAATACCCAGTAATGGGATTGCTGAGTCGAATGGCATTTCTGCCTGTAGGTCTCTGAGGAATTGCCACACTGTCTTCCACAATGGTTGAACTAAATTACACTCCCACTAACAGTGTGTAAGCGCTCTCTTTTCTCTGCAACCTCGCTAGCATCTATTTTTTTTTTTTGACTTTTTAATAATAGCCCTTCTGACTGGTGTGAGAAGGTATCTCATTGTGGTTTTGGTATGCATGTCTCTAATGACCTGTGATGCTGTGATTTTTATTCATATAATTGTTGACCACATGTATGTCTTCTTTTGAAAAGTGTCTGTTCGTGCCCTTTGGCCACTTCTTAATGGGGTTGTTATTTGTAAATTTAAGTTCCTTATAAATGCTGGATATTAGACCTCTGTCAGATGTACAGTTTGCAAAAATTTTCTCCCATTCTGTAGGTTGTCTGTTTACTCTGCTGATGTGTGTTTTGCTCTGCAGAAGGTATTTAGTTTAATTAGATCCCATTTGTCAATTTTTGCTTTTGTTGCTATTGCTTTTGGCATTTTTGTCATGAAGGCTTTGCCCATGCCTATGTCCTGAATGGTATTGCCTAGGTTGTCTTCTAGGGTTTTTATAGTTTTGGGTTTTCCATTTAAGTCTTCAATCTATCTTGAGTTAATTTTTGTATATGGTGTAAGGAAAGAGTCCGGTTTCAATCTTCTGCATATGGTGAGCCAGTTATCCCAGCACCATTTATTGAATAGGGAGTCCTTAACCCATTGCTTGTTTTTGTCAGCTTTGTCAAACATCAGATAGTTGTAGGTGTGCGGTCTTATTTCTGAGTTTTCTATTCTGTTCCATTGGTCTATGTGTCTGTTTTTGTACCAGTACCATGTTATTTTGGGTACTGCAACCCTGTAGTATAGTTTGAAGTCAAGTAGCATAATCCCTCCATCTTTGTTATTTTTGCTTAGGATTACTTTGGCTATTCAGGCTCTTTTTTTTGGTCCCATATGAATTTTTTTTTTTGAGACAGAATCTTGCTCTGTTGCCCAGGGTGTAGTGCAGTGGTGAGATCTTGGCTCACTGTAACCTCTGCTTCTCAGGTTCAAGTGATTCTTCTACCTCAGCCTCCCAAGTAGCTGGGATTACAGGCACCTGCTACCATGCCTGGCTAATTTTTGTATTTTTAATAGAAGCAGGGTTTCTCCATGTTGGTCAGGCTGGTCTCAAACTCCTGGCCTCAGGTGATCCACCCGCCTCGGCCTCCCAAAATGCTGGGATTACAGGCGTGAGCCACTGTGCCTGGCCCCCATATGTATTTTAAAAGTTTTTTTCTAGTTCTGTGAAGAATCTCAATGGTAGTTTAATAGGAATAACACTGAATCTATAAATTGCTTTGGGCAGTATGGCCATTTTAACAATATTGATTCTTCTTACCTTTGAGCATGAAATGTTTTTCCATTTGTTTGTATCTTTCAGATTCCTTACAGCTAGTGTACAGAGATACAATAGATTCGTATGGGTTAATTTCATATCCTACAAGTTTGCTGACTTTGTTTTAAGCTCAGTTTTTTTGTTGGTGTGGAATCTCTAGGGTTTTCTCATGTAAGATCATGCCATCTGCAAATAGAGATAATTTTACTTCTTCCTTTCCAATCTGTATGCCTTTTATTTCTTTTTCCTACCCTGGCTAGAAGTTACAGTCCTATGTCAAAAGGCAGCAGGGAAGTTGGAATCCTTGCTTTTTTCCTGATCTTGGAAGAAAAGCTTTGAGTGGTTCACTATTGAGTACGATGTTGGCTGTGGGTTTTTCATATGTGGGCTTTATTATGCTGAGGAAGTTCCCTTTTTTTCCTATTTAATTGTGTGTTTTTATGATGAAAGGGTGTGGATTTTGGCCAATTTTTTTTCTGTGTCAGTTGACTCTTGTTAGTATCAGAGTTACAGATTATGTTGCATAATAATGTGAATGCAAAATACCTGCATGTATATTTCCAGTACACTCTTTCATCTTAATTTGTGTTCCCTATAATTCATTGGTAAAGAAGCTGACATTAATTCCTTTAATACTGAGTACATGATACTCACCCAGATGCAAACCACAAACTTTAGGAAAATTTTTAAGATCATAACTTTTAGATAATAAAAATGAAACATAACATTTAAATAATACTAATGATAGTTTCTAAACAGTAGAAGGTAATTGATATCGTTTGCGATATTTCACAAAGGTTATTTATATCCAGTTTAATGACTCCTGTTTTGACCTGTAGGTTAGCTTTCATATCCCATTTTTTGTAGAGATAGGGTTTTGCCATGTTGCCTAGGCTGGTCTTGATCTCCTGGGCTCAAGCAATTTGCCTACCTTGGCCTGCTCATGGTGGCATGAGCCACCGTGCCTGGCCAAAACAATTTTAAAATTATTTATTATTTCTAGGCTGGGCATGGTGGCTCACACCTGTAATCCCAGCACTTTGGAAGGCTGAGGTGGGAGGATCTCTTGAGCCCAGGAGTTCAAGACCAGCCTGCACAAAATAGCGAGACCCCATCTCTATTAAAAATAATAATAATATTTATTATTTTTAAATAATTTTAAAATTTTTTTCATAGAGATGGGAGTTTTTCTGTGTGGCCCAGGCTGGTCTTAAACTCCTGACTGCAAGCAATCCACGTGCCTCTGCCTCCCAAAGGGCTAGGATTACAGGCATGAGCCACTGTGCCCAGCCTCCACCTTTTGGTTATTATGAATAATGCTACTATAAACAGTCATGTACAAATGTTTACATGGACACAGGTTTTCATTTCTCTTGAGTATATAACTAGGAGTGGAATTGCTGGATTACATGGTAACTACATTTAATCAACTGAAGAGCTGCCAGACTGTTTTCCAAAGCTGTTGCACCATTTTACATTCCCACTAGCAGCCAATGAGGGTTCAGATGTCTCCACATCCTTGCTAACATTTGTTGTTACCTGACGACTTTTTTTTTTTTTTTGAGACAGAGACTTGCTCTGTTGCCCAGCTGGAGTGTAGTGGCGTGATCTCGGCTCACTGCAACGTCTGCCTCTCAGGTTCAAGTGATTCTCCTGCCTCAGCCTCCTAAGTAGCTGGGACTACATGTGCGTGCCACCATGCCCAGCAAAGATTTTTATATTTTAAGTAGAGACAGGGTTTCGCTATGTTGGCCAAGCTGGTCTCAAACTCCCAGCCTCAAGTATCTGCCCACCTCGGCCTACCAAAGTGCTGGGATTACAGGAGTGAGCCACTGTGCCGGGCCCCTGATGACTTTTTTGATTCTACAAATTGTAGCAGGTATGAAGTGGTACCTCATGCGGCTTTGATTTGCAGTCACCTGGTGAGTAATAATGTTGAGCTTCTTTTCATGTGCTATTGGCCACTTGTATATCGTCCTTGGAGAAATATCTTTTCGAACCCTTTGCCAGTTGTTGCTGGGATAATTTGTCTTTTTGTTATTGAGTTGTAAGAGTTCTTTATATATTCCAGATACAAGTCCCTTATTATTAGATTAATGATTTACAGTAATTGTCTCCCAATCTGTGGGTTGTACTTTCACTTTCTTCGTGGTGTCCTTTGAAGTAGTTAGTCAACAGTACTGATTCTGCCTCATCTTTTAAAATTTAACTCAGCTTGCAAAATAATCACTAAGTGAAAAACTTCTGTAATATATATTTCTCACTGATAATAGAATAAAGAGTGATGACTACTTCCACCTCTTCAACATTCATACAGCACATATGACAAGAACTGATTCTTACTTTGCACACATTAGTAGTTTCATCCAACTGTAAAGTATCTCTCTAGTAGTGTTCACAATATACTTATCACTCTTCCATTGACCACCCCATTACCATTGTATATGCCATCCAACAGTGTCATTTGATGAAGTATTTAACCCAAGAACTTACTCTGCTGTCTCTCTCTCTCTCTCTCTCTCTCTCTCTCTCCCTCTCTCCCTCTCTCCCTCTCTCCCTCTCTCTCTCTCTCTCTCTCTGAGACAGGGTCTTACTCTTGCCCAGGCTGGAGTGCAGTGGTGCAATCACAGCTCACTGCAGCCTTGACCTCTTGAGCTTAAGCAATTCTCCCAGTTTAGCCTCCCGAGTCGCTGGGACTACACCACCATACTTGGCTAATTTTTTTTCCCTATTTTTTGTAGAGATGGGGTTTCCACATGTTGCCCAGGCTGGTCTCAAACTCCTGGGCTCAAGTGATCCTCCTACCTCAGCCTCCCAAAGTGCTGAGATTATAGCCGTGAGCCACTGCACCCAGCCTGCTGTCTCTTTTGAGCATTAGCTTCTTATGGCCAATTTTGCAGGGGCTTTACAAGTTTCTTGGCAATAGCAGGGTTTGCATCCATTTTTACCTTGAGTGTACTTATAAACAATTTCTCCTCTGGGATTTTGCATCTTCTCTGCTTTTAGCAATAGATTTTTTACTTTAGTGATATTATTTTTCTTCTGTTCTAAAAAAAATTCTATTGATTTAACAGAGAGGTAGATCATTAGGCTTTACTTAATAATGAAGCAAAAACTTTGAAGGGCTCATGCTTTTATCAAAAAATGTTCTAAGAAACACTGACACTAGGGGTAAATGGATTCTTTCTCTTATATGATCAATTTTTATATATTCACTTCCTAATCAAATTTTCTTTTATGGAAACTAGTATGAAAATAATCACACTCAGATTCAGCTGCCTTGGCATCTTCTATACTGGTACTGGAGTTCCTTGAATTATTTCTATACTAATGTTGAACCACAGTTGACCCTTAAACAACAAGGGTCTGAACTGTGTAAGTCCACTTACATGGAGAGTTTTTTCAATAGAAGTTATACAGAGTGTGCCTGCCTCTTCTGCCTCCTCTTTCACCTCCTCTACCTCTTTTGGCTCTGCTTCCTCTAAGACAGCAAGGCCAACCTCTCCTCCACCTCTCCTCAGCCTGCTCTACGTGAAGGTGACAAGAACAAAGACCTTTATGATAATCCACTTCCACTTAATGAAGAGGCAATACATTTCTTCTTCCTTAGGATTTTCTTAATAACATTTTATTTCTCTAGTTCACTTTATTAATGCGCTATATAATACATATAACATACAAAATACATGTTAATCAATTATATTATTGGTAAGACTTCTGGTTATCAGTAGGCTGTTAGTAGTTAAGTTTTGGGGGAGTCAAAAGTTATACCTGCATTTGACTGTGTCAAGAGTTGACACCCTAACCTCCACGTTGTTTAAGAGTTAACTGTAGTTTGAACTACACTAGTTTGTACTGGTTTGCAGTTATTTATTATACTATATTCATCATTACTTTTATGTTTCAATGAACCATTGTTGAGCCATGATCCATTTTGGGAAGCTAAGAATATAATTGACTTAAGCAAGGAAAAATGAATGTAAATCTGACAATAACATATGAATGACATGAAGTTCAGATGTCAGAGTCAAACACCTCTGTTAAATGAATGCTTGCCAAGACAAAACAATCAATGCAATCAATCCTTATTATCTATTAACAGTCTAATAAATTGTAACAGATGTGATAAATTAAATGGGATTTGGAAGAATATAATTTATCTTACATTCAAAATGTGAAATAAATGTGAACAAAAATCAACCTGTTGCTTATTCATATCTAACTGCTTGGGAATCTTAGTAGATAGGTACTCCAGTAGTTCAGGAATCACACTGAGAAACATTGCCCCAGAAGAAAGAACCCAGCATGTAGCAGGAAGCTGAAGAATAGCTGTTATTATCTACATTCTTACCTGTTCCACCTGCCTTGTAGCTTGAGAACATGTCTGGCTCACCCTGGCTAGTTGCTCCCTGGGCTTCATCCACCTGATTAGTTGATAAACTTTATTGGAATTTCTGGGTTGTAAGCCTAAGGACCTTGTTTATCTTGCTCACAGCTGTGTTCTTAGGCCCTACACAGTGTCTGGTATACACTAAAAGCTCAATAAATATTTATGAAATGAATACATAAATCAAAGTGAGAGAAATTAATTTTCTGTGATTTGGGCCTCAGAAAGGAGAAAAATCACTGGATAAGTAACTATTTTTCTAAGCAGAATGTAGCTACCTTCAGAAAGGCACCTATGGTGTGGTTGGCTAACCATTTAGTAACCTAATCATCAACAGTTAACACAGCCCTTTCTCCTTGAAGTTACTTTTAAATATTAGAACTTTTATAATTTTAGCATTTTCAGTGGAATTCTAATGTTTAAAAATATCGTATTTTTGGATTTTTAATCTCACATATAAATTTATATACAGCTATCTCAGGGAAAATTCTCTTAACAGAACTACTGACCAGTGAGTAGTTTTGCTAGCTTTAAGAAGTGGTGTGTGTGTGTGTGTGTGTGTGTGTGTGTGTGTGTGTATGTATATATGTATATATGTATGAGTGTGTGTGTGTGTATTTTTTAAAGACTAAGAGTAAAATCTCCTTTTAAAGGTCTGTTTAGTAAGTTTTGCTTTAATTTTTGTACCAAGAGATTGTTTTTGTTCTCTGTGTCTTGAGATGATTTATTCCTGCTTTAAAGAAAACAGCAATAACTCATGGTCATAGATAGTAAAAGGATGTTACCAGAGGTTGGGAAGGGTGGTGGGGGGAGGTGGGGATGTTTAATGGGTACAAAAAGAATAGAAAGAATGAATAAAGCCTACTATTTGATAGCACAACAGGATGACTACAGTCAATGATAACTTAATTGTATATTTTAAAATAACTTAAAGAATGTAATTGGATTGTTTGTAACTCAAAGAATAAATGCTTGAGGAGATGGATACCCCATTCTCCATGATGTGCTTATTTCGCATTGCATGCCTGTATCAAAACATTTCATGTACTCCATAAACATATACACCTACTGTGTACCCAAAAAATGAAACAAACAACCAACAAGAACAACAACAACAAAAAACAAACTGCAACAGAAGCCAGAATCAGTATTCTGTTTGTCATTGTTAGCTCTGCAAACAGAAGGGGTATGATGGTGATGAGATTTTAAACAAAGGAAAGGAAAAGGAATGCACTGCTGAAAACAGACTAAGACAAAGCTTAGGGGAAAAAGTTACACACTTGTAGCAAACAACAAAGCCAACAATTTCCTTTGGCAACAAAAAGGCTGCTGTGAGGTAATAAACGTTATCTTCCCTACAGTGTGGCAATGCTGTTTTTAAATCCTAAATTAGAACCCTTTAAAATAAGCCTAGAATGCCCCTCTGGCATATTTTGCCCATGTTCCACTAATGTATTCTTAGAATTCCTAGAGATGAGAATGATGTAACTGCCCTTGAAATCTGCCCTGATCTCCAACATCTGGATTGTGATAATTACCGAGCTATTGTTCAGATACAAGTTAATCAGAGAGGTAAGCCTGGAAGTGAGTAATCCTTGCAAGCAGGATAGAGGATTATAAACTAATTTGTGTTGAATGAATAAACAAATGAAACAATAAATAGATCACAAACTAAGTATCACAAACTCTTGATTATCAGAGGTTTCTAGGTAGCTTAAAAAACAGTGCATATAAAAAAATCAATCCATTTACATGTTAGGAAGCATCTATTATTTGGAATCAGGCTTTAGGCAAAAATAGATTCTAAAATGTCGCTACTGTAATGTAGTAATACTTGTTTTCCTCCTCACCCACTCTTTGCCAATAGCCCCTCATTAAAGCAAAAGATTTCTTTGTCCCAAGGACCTCATCCAGTGATATGTACTTGGTAGGTACTTTGTAAACCTTTACAAAACCAAATACTACTAATGAAAATGTCTAAGAGAGAAAGCTATAGGCAGTTCTGTCAAAAACAGAGATCCATATAATGTATATACCCTGGTTAAAAATAGAGCAATCAGTGATATAAAGGTTAGTCCTTTCTGGGCCACTGAAGAGTGATTCAGTGTATAAATATGGTTCAGGCTTGGGTTTATTTAACAAAAGTTTTAAACATAGGTATTTCCGGTTGTGCTATGGAATCATCAAAGTGATGAATACAATTTAAAGTTAAATTTAAATAAATTCAGGCCTAGGAAGCCAGCCTCCAAACCTGTTCACTGATTTAATTTTAATTTCAAACTTAAGTCTTATTTCTAATTTTTTAAAAATAAAGGCAAATTCACAATTACAAGGGACAGTGTTTCTTGTCACATATTCAGCAGCTACCAAATCATTATGGTCTATGTATAGTCCAAAAGAAGTCTTTAAAGTTAGAAATGCTTTTCTTAGGAACTCTATTATAACTTGAGCTATAACTTTCATGAAGACACTCTAAAAACAAAGAGAAATCCTTACCTCTTGCAATTAAATTTCAATAAAAATTTCAATTATATGGAGCATTGGATTTTTCCTGTAACCCTCATATTCAATTTTGTGCTCAGTATTAAAGGAATTAAAGTAAATTTCTTTACCAGTGCATTATGGGGAACACAAATTAAGATGGAAAAATGAACTGGGAATAAGCATGCAAATATTGTGTATTCATATTCTTATACAGCATAATCTGTAAATCTGGTACTAATGAGACTCAAGATTTAAATGGCTGAAGAATGTTTTTAGTGAATTATTGTCAATCAATGCCTCTGTTCCAGGATAAATGTAATCTTGAAAGGCAAAACACCTATTATTACAAATTCCTAACTAAGTACAGTACTTCATTATTTCAAAATGTCACTGTCAATTTATAGAGTAACAGATAAACATCTTTCTACCATGTATCTGAATGCCTTTCCTTCAGAGTAAATGAAACATTGACTATTAAGAAAAAGTATAAACCATATTTTTATAGCAATAGAAGATACCTAGTGAGCATTAAAACTCTATAAACTAATTACAGTGCTCCAAATTTTCATATTTGTTAATGTGGATATATTGGGTTTCATTTTTTAAAAATATTTTAAAATTTATCTTTTTGGTTTGTTTGTTTTTAAGAGACAGGGTCTCACTCTGTCACCCAGACTGGAGTATAGTGGTGCAAGCATAGCTCACTGCAGCCTTCAACTCGTGGGCTCAAGTGATTCTCCCACCTGAGCCTTCTGAGTAGCTAGGACTACAGGCATGCACCACCATGCCCAGCTAATGTTTTTAAAATTTTTTTGTAGAGATGGGGCCTTGCTATGTTGCCCAGGCTGATCTCAAACTCCTGGCCTTAAGCCATCTTCCTGTCTTGGCCTCCCAAACTGCTAGGATTACAGGTGTGAGCCACTGTGCTGGGCTATACTTGTTACAGGGTCCCACGTTGTTGCCCTGGCTGGAATACAATGGCATGAACATGGCTCCCTGTAGCCTCAGCTCTCCAAGTAGCTGGGACTACAGGCACGCAACACCACCCCTGGCTAATTTTTGTATTTTTTATAGAGATGGGGTTTCACCATGTTGCCCAGGCTGGTCTCTTAAATCCTTAGCTCAAGTGATCCATCCACCTTGGCCTCCCAAAGTGTTGGGATTACAGGTGTGAGCCACCCCCGAGCCCTGGCCAGGTTTTATATCATTGTAACCAAATTTTTTTTTCAAGTTACTTTATTTTATGTAAATTCAAATGTTCATTTATTCAATTGCTTAACAAACATTTACTAAGTGCTGACTTTGTCCTAAGTACACTGTTAGGGGACAGACTTACAAAGATGAATATGGTATGACTCTTGCTCTCAGTTTAATGTAATACAGCGATAAATAAACTAAAATACAATAGTTCAGGGCTATATTAAAATTGTCTATATGTTTCACATTTGCAATACCTAAAGGATAGTCTATTAAAACTATCCTTAGAAACTTTTCATCATTGTTCAGAAATAAAACTCTCCCTTACGTGTTCTAGGGAAATCTTTTAAAAAGAAATTTAAAACACATAAATTAAAAATGATAATCTTACCAATATCTGTGAACATAACATCTCAAATTAACAAATGCTAATATTTGTTTCATATTTTAAGGCTATTTTCTAAATCCAGAAATTTCTTGAATGATCCACGTAATAATGACTTCTTGAGATAATTATTTATAGCTCCTACCAGCTATATGGCCTTGGGCAAATCTACTTAATTTTGACTCTCAGTGTTCTCATCTGAAAAGTATAGATAATCATACCAATCTGTGCTAGATTATCTGCCATTTACCCCCTCAGGATCCATGTTCTCTACACAGCTTTTTGCCCATGGAGGCTCTCCTACCTTCCAGCTTCTAATTAGGCTAAATTAATAGGGATACTAGCAGAAGATTAGAGAAGGAAGGTGAAGCTATTCCCTACTTTCCTCTCTATTAGGCCACCAAGGTTGGCTATATCCCTCTGTCAGAAGCAGTCCTCTCCATACAGCACCCTCTCCTAGGCTTTCAGGCCTAGAGATGATAATGGTTCCCTTTAGCCTTGGGGTCTATATTATCTTCTGCTGATAATTTTTTTGAGACATATTCTCACTCTGTCACCCAGGCTGGAGTACAGTGGCATGATCTTGGCTCACTGCAACCTCCACCTCCCAGGTTCAAGCGATTATCCTGCCTCTCAGCCTCCCGAGTAGCTGGGATTACAAGCACATGCCACCATACCCAGCTCATTTTTGTATTTTTAGTAGAGATGGGGTTTCACCATGTTGGCCAAGCTAGTCTTGAACTCAGTGATCGACCTACCTCAGCCTCCCAAAGTGCTGGGATTACAGGTGTGAGCCCCTGTGCCCAGCCTCTTCTGTTGATTTTTGAAAACCCTGCCCACATCTTTAAAAATGGTCACCTTATTAAACTCTTCTTAAATAACCTAGTTTAAAAGTGTCTATTTACTGCCATAACACTGATTGATATACAACTTCACGGGTTATTTTGAGGATCATATGAGATGATGATTAGTGCTTAGCACAGTGCCTAGCACATGATAAATACTAGGTAAGTATTGAACACTATTGTCATCGATAATGTTTTTATTATTATTTTATTTGAGGTTCTATGTTCATGTTATCTATAACACCTGAATATGTTTAGGAGGTTGAGAAAACACCTGAATATGTTAAGGAAGCTGAGAAATTCAGAATGCTGGAGATCTTTTGCTAATGCTCACAGTACTTCAAAAATATATTCAAATGTAAAATGTGTTTATTGCTAATTAATCTCAATATTTAAAAAGAGTAAGAGGACCATAAAACTGAGTGATAAAATCCATATAGTAGACATAATTTCCTGGACTACAGTTTCTTCTATAAACATGCTTCTGAACTAATTTCTTGCAAATCGACTTCCTGTACCCACCCCAAATCTAGCAAAGTGTAAATAGTACATAAATTAAAACAAATTATTGGGTCTTGGGGTCATAAAAAGAATGGACTGAAAGGTAAACTCCATAGCATAAAAACCCTTGGTAAATTTGGAAATGCATCTTCATCATCCTTATTTATCGATCATATCATAGGCATGTATCATCATTTGACAAATTAAAATCCTATTAAAATCTCATCAAAATCCTATTAAAGATCTGCATAACCTTACCTCGTCCTTTATATCTTCCTGTTGTTGGGCTGTGAAGATCTCCATTGCAGCCATGAGTCTCATCATTAACTCATCTACTGTTGTGTTCCCTAAAAACATATAGAGATTGCCAAACTTTTATAATCATTTTATATATAACTTCAAATTATTAAAGTATTAGAAACTGGAAAGTCATTCTAGAATTAACCAGAAAGGAATAATCAGTCTAAAAAAATTACAGTTAAAATACTTTTGTGGTTTTATTGAAATGTTTCATATGTTCAATAAGAAATAGTAGTATACTGGCAGTTGAAATTTCGGAAGTTATATTTGAGGGAGCAGTTTCTTAATGAGAAGGACTTTTAGCACTATATAGAAGAATGTCCAAATCATGAAGTTCAAAAGTTCTGTCAAATTATGAAAACATATCTTGTTAATAACACTAGCAACAACTACCAATTGTTTATATATCACTGATTAGGCTAAGCACTTTTATACCATCTCATTTAATCTGTACAACAAATCTATGAAGGATTCATTATGATTTGGTTTTAAAGAGAAGAAAAATGAGTCTTAGCTCAAAAAAACCTCTCTGACTAAGGTCAAGCTGGTTAAGTGGTGAGGCCAGAATCTGAAACCAGAAGAGGCTGACTCGAAGCCTGTCCTCTTTGCCGCCCACCTCAGTCTATTACCTTTACTTACAATTATCTTCTATCATCAAAAATCCTCCAGTGAAAGAAATAGTAATTCAATTTCTGAAAAAAAGATTTCTTTTTTTGCCCAATTGATATTTCTCCCTTTCAGCTGCTTTTAAATGATTCTTATGATCTTTATAAAGAAGGTATTTTTAATGTTTGATTTTCTTTAATGTCATTTTATTCCAACCGAGTCCATAACAAACATATAGCACATATGTGCCATTTCCTGAACACATTTAAGTCATTGTTATTTGCTTGGGATGTACCTACAAAAGAAAAATTCATGAGGATATATAAAGATATGACAATTCTCTTCTCTCAAACCTACAGGCAGAAAGAGTTAGGTTTTCTCCAAGGCTTGAGAAGGGATCTTCTTCTCCATTAATGCAATGGCCATCCTTTACAGGACAATAAAGACCAAACATTCTTGCTGGCATTTTTCCAGAGGGCTTGACTAACATGATCTTTCAGTGGTCCTTTCCCTAATTATCCTTATGACCATTGGCAGCATGGGTTTAGGGAACATCTATGGTCCTTGGCAAAAGAAATGATCTAATTTGTTCACATCAGTACTACTCACTCAGTAAATGAGTTACAGGACAAATGCTATCTTGGCACTAAGAAAACAGAACTGGTTTTATAGTCAGAGTTCTAACTCTAATTCCATTACTTACAAGCTATATAATCTAGTACCTGGAAATTGGCACATGACAAAGGCTTTAATGAATATTTATTCAATAAATAAATAAATGAATAAGTGAATAAATGGACTGTAGCTCTCTAAGGATCAATTTCCTTTTCTCAAAATGGAGATAACACTATGTAGTGTTCTTAGAAGGAGTGGAGATAACGTAAAGTATATACAAATCATTGGTAGTTAATATTAATAGATATGACAGATGACAAAAGAAGTTTAGGAGCACCTTCAGTGTAGATTTTTTATTCTTTTGAGACAGGGTCTCGCTTTGTTGCCCAGGTCTCAAGTGATCCTCCCACCTCAGCCTTCCAAGTAGCTGGGATTATAGGTATGTGCCACCACACCTAACCAATGTAGATTTTATTATTGGGCAAGTCTCTGGGTTTCTATGTTTTATTTAAAAACTGTAGTGGCTAAGACTCGGAGCATGGGAAATGGGTACTATATGGAGTACACTGGAATCATCAGTGGGAAAATACTATAGTTGTATAGGTTGACTACATACTGACCACTAATTTTTAGGCTTAAGTCACTGCTTATCAGCTATGTTTTAGCCCTAACTGGAAGGCTCCATTGCCAAACTGGACTTGTAGGTACTACATATTTAAGCCCTTATTGATCAAAGACAGAGAAAAAGTATACCAGTTAATGCAGTTCAGGGCAAACTTACTCTTTATAGTTGATTGCAGCAGTTCTCAAACTTTTTGGTCTCAGGACCCCTTTACACTGTTAAAAATTACTGAGATCCCCAAAGAACTTTTGTTTATGTGGATTATGGCTATTAACATTTACTGTGTTAGAAATTAAAATAGAAATATTTAAAATAAATTTATCAATCCATTTAAAAGTAACAATAATAAACCCATTACATGTTAATATAAATATTACATTTTTATGAAACATGACTATTTTCCAAAAGAAAAAGTTTAGTGAGAAGAGCAGCATTGTAACATTTTTGCAAATCTCTGTAATGTGTGTGCTTAATAGAAAACAACCGTATTCTGTATTCTCGTACCTACATCTACACTAACCAGTTACAATATATTGTACTGGTTGAAATTTACGAAGAAAATCTGGTCACACAAAGATATGTAGTTGGAAAAGGGACAAGTATTTTCATAAATGTGGATGTTCTTTGATAATACACTTAAACTGACAAGTGTAAGTTTTCTTCAAATTAGATGCACATGGAATTTGAAACCGTATCAATGAAATCTGTGTACTCTGTTACATTAAAATCTATTGCCCTTTGAAAGGATCTTTTATCTATACATGATTTTATAACATACATTGGTCATTTGTAAAATATTGGTTCACTGAGTTATGCATTTCTCTGCTGAATGCTGACACACTTCATTATAGGATATTAAAAAAAAAAAATCACAGAAAACATCTTGGCAACTACCCAGGCTACATAAGCATAGTTTGCCTGTCAGTAATATTTTCAAGTAAAAATAATTTCTATAAGAAATAAAAAGCAAGTATTTCAGTGTAAGCAACCACACCAGTGCTTTTCTTCCAGACCACCAGTATACTTTAGTATGCAGCAGAAGTGCTTTACCCATACCTCCCATTGTGCCACATAAACTATTAAAAGGGTTAAAATTTAATAAAAGTAATAATTTTTACTGCTTCATCAAGGACATTCTTAAGGCTTTTTCTTTTCTTTTTTAACTAAATACATGGCAATGAAGAATATGACTACTATTGCAGTTTTGTGTTATGGCTTTGATTCGTGCTAAGGTGCCAAGAGTTTTTATAAACTATTCCTTTTGAGCCACTAGTGCAAATGTCAACACAGTAAAAAAGGCAAAAAAAAAAAAAAAAAAGTCTTATTACAGTTAGGAAAATAATTTTGACCTTACAGATATCCTAAAAGGGTCTAGTCTGATGTCTACAAACCACACCTTGAGAAACACTAGTTCTTGCAACATTGCCTCTGACAGGGAAAGCAGGAATGAAGTGTTATCTTCATTATCCATTTACCCTATGCAAATCAGTTCCCCTGGAGGTCTTTTTAAACACTGTTTATGAAATTGAATGCTCTAGTTATAGAGAAAACATAAAATGCTAGAGGTCTGGTTTTATTTGGGTTTTAAAGGCACTGCAATTTACACATATCCCCTCCTCCCAATCAGACTTAAATGGAGGCAGAAATTAGTATACCAGATATAGTTTTAGCTTGAGGCACTTGAAAATCTTTTCCCCAGTGGCATAGAGAAGATATACTGTTCAACCTAAGCTTTGTAATGAACAAGGTAATATTTTACACCAACCCTTGGAGTGCATTACTAACAGTAAACAAAACAAAATCATTCACTTCTTTTTTGGTAAAGAATGTGCACTGTGGTTAAATTCACAGGCATCCCACAGCTTCATGCTTCAGGGTTGCACCCTAAACATGGAATCATACAAATAAGAAGAAACAATTGTCACTGTGAAAAATTCAATCTTCAATATACAGTGACTGGATTTTCTAGATAACTAAAGATAAGTACTTCTTCCAATTAATCAACATTATAACAATAAATCAATATAAATAGAAATGTCACACTTGACAACTGATTATGTCCTAATTGATAGATTATACAATTTAGCAATTCTGAACATTTAACTTGAACATCCTGTGCCCCAAGGGTTGTGCAATTTTATTAAGATGTTTCTTTTAGATTTTCATGCAGCATATTATTTTTTATAGCACCTATATTTTTTGAAGACATTTTTCAGGATATTCTATATTTTCAAATGCAAAGATATTTACTAATAGAAATATTGTCAGCTTGGGTGGAAAAACTATAAAGTTATCACATACCAGGAAGGCTTTACTCTCCTTGTGACATGTACTTTACCTTGTATCACATTCAACACTTCATTAGATGATCGCTTTCCCATAATAATCAGGAAAAGCGGAAACTGATCCGTTTTTTGAGTCCGAATGGTTTGTGCCACAACACTGCCAAAGTGTCTATTGCACATAGTGAGAAATCTAAAAGGAGACAAAATACAAAGTAAGTTTTGCTTTGTAGTTTAATAGATTTACTAGTACTTCAACAAAGAACTCATTGTGTTATTAGTTATGTTAAATTAGACAGCCTGCCTGATATCAATATGTAAAATCTTGCTATATTGAGTTTTCAAACATATCTGACATAATACAGAAGTGATTATCATATAGAAAAGCAGGAAGCATACCCTAAATGCTGTCTGGGGCTGACAGCATAGGATTCTTTTCTTAGTCTTTTTTTTTGAGACAGAGTCTCTCTCTGTCACCCAGGCTGGAGTGCAGTGTTGTGATCTCGGCTCACTGAAACCCCCGCCTCCCGGGTTCAAGCAATTTTCTGCCTCAGCCTCCTGAGTAGCTGTGATTACAAGCTCCCGCCACCACACCTGGCTAATTTTTTTTGTATTTTTAGTAGAGACAGGGTTTGACCATCTTGGCCAGGATGGTCTTGAACTCCTGACCTTGTGATCCACCTGCCTCGGCCTCCCAAAGTGCTGGGATTAGAGGTGTGAGCCACTGCACCCGGCAGGATTCTTAGCCTTAAACACTACAACACTACCTTTAAACTATGAGAAAAACAAACTACATTAATTTCAAGAGGATAAAATTTCTTAAATAGAATAATATAGTGTTGTGCAAAGATAAATTGACTAGCATCATCCTAAAAAACAGAATTTAGCAACGTTTTCACAAGTCTTCAGAATCAACAACTGTACTTTACAATTATGTTTTCTCCAGTAGTAGTAGGTCTTCTAGTTTCATACTTAGCATGAGATAAAAATAATAATTCTAAGCTTTTGACCAAAAAAAGCTCTGAGATATTAGCATACTGAAGTCTAGCATTAGTATTCTTAACACGATCTGGAATAAATGAAAAAACTGATAAAGCTTTTCTCTTCTATTAGAGGACTGTTTGAAATTAGCATTTCTTTCAAGAGAAAAGGGTAGCTTATGATATGTTTTCAGATCTGATGGTAAAAAGTAAATGTCATAATAATAATGAATTATGAAAGACCAAATGCAAATATAGAATGCTTTAATAAGATCCAATTTAATAAAGTCTGTAAAAATAATGGACTTTTAATAACACAGGTCACAAAAGGCAAAACAGTGGAAATTCTGGGGACTAGCCACTGGTACTGGCTTATTAATTCTTAATTATGTTCATGAAAGGCAACTTAAATCGTGTGTTTTCTTATGCCTTATGATAATATTTTAGGTAACAACTCCTCTGAAATGTATGTTCTAGCTGATGAGCAAAGTCCTGTCATCACATGCATTAGAAGGTAAATCTATTTGAAAAGACAAACGGCATTAAAATGTCATGTGTTCACATTCATTTGATATCCAAATTCAAAACAGAATCAAACCTCTTAATTTTTAAAGCCAATACATTTTCTGTCTATAGAAATTCATCTCAGAAATTTAGACTGAATCCTCCATAAAATCTGTGCTATGACTATAGAAAGTAGGTGCTGCTAAGGGCCACTAGAACTGTTGGCAAGAGTGTTAAGTTAGCACCATTGCAATAAGTTCATTGGAAGGCAGGTTTAAATACACATTCAGAAGAGCAATAACCAGACCTCATGGCAATTTCATATCAGTGCCACCATCAAAATTCAAATTCTCACATTCCACAACTATGATGGGATAAAAGGTGCTCAAGCAGCCTAACCTTCTATGCCAAATTTCACACCCATATAGCTTAACTCATCGATAGGGATGTATAGATCGTGAGATTAGAAAATTAGGATCTTTTTGTGCTTTTTTCTAAAATATTTTGAGTCAGTCTTGACTCTGGCCTGATCATTGGCAACCTCAAAAACAAAAGATGTCAAAAAAATAGTTGGAATGTCATTTCCCACAAAAGGGAGTAAGTCCTTGTTGCTTTCACACCAATGGATTAATTAAGCAGATATAACAAATTATCTGCCCATAAGTGCTATTAAGTACTAGTACTAGCTAAACAGGATACCTACCAAAAAAAGAAAGAACAAAGAAATAAAGGAAAGAAAGAGAGAGAGAGAAGAGAAATAAAAAAAAAGGGAAAAGCAGGCAAGTTCAGTGGTTTTAAGGATTCCATCTCAACATAATTTTGCCTGGAAATTGTGTACTTCCCATATTCTTTTTGTGAAAATGAGCAAGAAGATAAAATAATTATGAAAATGTAGATATCTTATTGGGTATAAAATAATATATAACAAAACTTTCACCACTATACAAAGCATGTTTGCGGTGCAGATCGCAAAGCACACAGCCATTCAATAAATTATATAAAAACAACAACAAAGTGATCAATTTTCTGCTAGTTATTGGAAAATCACTCTAATTTTTTGGAAGTAGTTGGGAGATACACAGGAATCACACAACCAGCTGACACTTTATGGTAGCCTTAACCAACAATTTGTTCTAATCAAAGAGAGACTTAAAATTTTAATTAATCTGATCAATCTTCCTAAAATATGAATTATGTTTGAGATTTTCAAATTGCAATCATCAAGAGCCTGTAGGGCTGATGGACAGTATGAAATTGTAAAAATTCCTACTTGTCAATTCATTCCATTATAATTAACAAGAAGGTGGTACTTCACAGTACAGATGTCAAATCTTTCTCATGGCTAGGAGACTCTGCTTCTTCCTCCCAAGATCATTTATGCACAGGGCTACCATTTATAACACTACCAGCAGCAAAAAATTCAGTTCAAAACATTAGAAGGAAAATAGATGGGGAAAAACCAGTCATTTAAAGATAAAATGCATGGTTCTCATAATTGTGGTATTTTCTTCCTTTTGAAGAGATAAAAGTGTACCAGTGCATCCAGTGGCAGGGCCAAAGTTGTCAACCCAACTGCACATGGCATTCATCAGAGTTAGATGTCATAAAGTGATAAATGGTTTCCATAAGTAAATTCCTGCAATCTCAAACCCAAAGTGGGGAAGCAAGGGCAAACCACTCTACAACAAAGGGAAATGGCTCTGTTTTTAAATAATACAATTTCTGAATAAATTGAACAGCCTGCCCATCATAGAACATTTGAGGAGGGGACTAACGAGTTGCCAAATCAACCCAAGGCCAAATGCTAAAATTACAAATTTGAAAAGACAATAAATGCCCTCACTAAGGGAATGATACAAGGGAAGAAGGGAGAGAAGGATGAAGGAAGGGTTGAGGCAATGAGTGAAATGAAATAGTTAATCATAAGTCAGATATACTTTTATATTTTCCAGTTCTTGCTATTAGAAAACTGGTAAGATAAGATGAAATGGTTTTAATCTAAAGTTTGGAGAGAAATATAAACAGAATATCTGATGGTTAGCATGTATTAATCACTTGTAAAATTTTTCATTGCTGAAGCATAGATATTTCTATCTTGTTAACGGAAACCAGGATTACTAATAAATCAGATATGGCAAAAAGTAATCTTGTTTAAATTCAAAACAGGATATTGTTTAATTTCTTTCAACTTAAGTCATAATTACCTAAGTCACTGGCTTTCACCAAGCTATACTCTAACATAAAATATATATTAAATGGAACCTAGCAATTTAGGGGAAGGGAGATGAAATTCCACAAATGCTCACTGCCTACCTACCGTATACCAGGTGCTGTAAAAGGAAGAATATTTGATAAAAAATAGAGGGCACAAAACTGTCAACTACTCTATTTAAGGGTTCCTGATTACTACATATTTCAGTGTGATTCCCATGAGTTTAAAAGAGCCTCAGGTATAAAGTGGAAATAACACTTACCTTTAAAACACTTGTCTTCTTGTAAGGATGAAATAAGTTAAGATACAGAAAACACTTGGACTTGTGCCTAAAATATGGTAGGCCCTTAAAATTGGTCGCTATTTTACTATTATTAAATGCATAATAATATTTAACACTTTTATCATCATTTCTTTTAGGATTAAAAATGATAGTTTATAGCTACAGGCCAGCTCTATGAGACTTTATTTTGCACAGGAAGATACATTAGCAAAGATTTGTTGACTAAACCAACACTGTCACTGTTTTTTTTTTTCCATTCAGAAAATGAATGGGCAGGTATCAATATTTAGAAAATAAGACAATACATTATAGATGCTGCATTTGTACAATACCACAAAATTTTAAACATTTACAACTGGATACAAAACTAAAATCACTATTTTCTTTTAAATACATTTATATTTAATCATAATATGGCGAAAGGTCAAGGGGGAAGTGGATCCATGTGGAAAGGGCATCCTCCCTTTATAACAACTTGCTCTCCTGGGAAGAAATCCATTCCTGGGATTGCTAAACTAGCTTAATGAGAACAAGAGGGAGAACCCACTACCATGAGAACAGTCAAGGACATGGTGGGTCCATGACCCAGGCATCTCCCATTAGGCTCCACCTCTTAAAGGTTGCACCTCCCAACATTTCCACACTAAGAATTAAGGTTCCCATATGAGTTTCGGTGGGGATGCTCAAACCATAGCATAATCCTAAATCTTTGGTTTAAACTAAACTAAGTTAGGAAAACAGAGTATATGACTAAGCTAGGGGAAACTAAGGTAAAGGCAGTGATCCTAAACCTTTAGTGGCCTATAAATCACCTAGGGAATTTATTTAAAAGGCAAGTTCCTCAGCCCCATTCCCACAGAGAAGGTGATTCAATAGATTTGAGTCAGGAAACAGCCTTTTTAATACGTCTCCAACCCCACCCCAGGTAATTTTGATGCAAGTGATTAATGGCCACACTTTGAGACACATTGCTTTCTGGACACAGGACTCTCTTTGTAAGACTTTAATCTGTCTCTGAAGGCAGTTCTTAAAAGAAATCATCATAAAAATATTTTGGGCAATGATAGCTTCACTGGACCAAGTGTCTAGTCTCCTGAGTCAACCACTTTAAAAATATTAATTCCCACTTGCTTCATTTGTATGGGTAAACTCCAATCTGATCTGAAAAAAATACTAATAAATATCTCAAAAGTCTGTGAGCTCCATGTGATGGAGGGAAAACAAAGCAGGGAAGGGGAGGTTGTAATATAAAATAGAGTGGTCAGGGAAAGTCTCAATGAAACGCTGACATTTGATCAAAGACTCAAAAGAGGTGAAGGAGGAAATGAAATATTTATCTCAGGGAAGAGAATTTCAGGTGTAGAGAACAGGAAATAAAAGACATTGAAGTTGGAAAGTATCTAGCATATTTGAAAGGTAACAAGGAGGTTACTATAGTTGGAGCAGAGTGAAGCATAAAAGACAAAAATTGATGAGTTTTATTAAACTTACATGGTAAAACACACACACACACCACAGAAAAAAACAAAAACAAAAACACCATAACTAGGCCAAAAGATAAATAACAAACGGGGAAATTTTCTGAATTCCAAACCACAAAAAAGAGGCTAATTTACTCATTATATATAGAATTCTTACAAACTAGTAAGTAAAAGATCAACAAAAAATAAAGTTTCTAGAAATGGAAATAGTAATAGCACATAAGCATGTTAAAAAGATATGCAAAATTACACATATTGAATTTGCTCCTAATTATAGCTACATATATATATATATTCGAGATGGAGTCTTGCTCTGTCACCCAGGCTGGAGTGCAGTGATGCCATCTTGGCTTACTGCAACCTCCGCCTCCCGAGTGATTCTCCTGCCTCAGCCTCCCAAGTAGCTGAGATTATAGGTATGTGCCACCATGCCTGGCTAATTTTTGTATTTTTAGTAGAGATGGGGTTGCACCATGTTGGCCAGGCTGGTCTTGAACTCCTGATCTCAAGTGATCCACCTGCCTTGGCCTCCCAAAGTGCTGGGATTATACAGGTGTGAGCCACCATGCCCACCTAAAGCTATATTTTAAAAAAAAAGAAAAAAGAAAAAAAAAACATTTTTCACCTGTCAGATTAGTAAAGAAAAAAAACTGGCTTTGGCAAGGTTACAGGAAAACCAGGAAAAAGTCACTACTATACACTGTTAGTATAAGTGAAACTGATACAATTCCTTCATGGGCAATTTGCCAATAAAAATTATAAATCACACATACTCTTAAACAAGCATTTAGTCTATAGATATATTTTCATGTGGAAATCACCTATGTACACACAGTTAATTACTGGATGTTTGTAACAGCAGAATACTGGGTGTAACCCATCAATTACTGGATGCAGTAGCTCACACCAGTAATCCCAGCACTTTGGGAGGCCAAGGTGGGGGGAGGAAATTGCTTAAGCCCAGGAGTTGAAGACCAACCTGGATAACAAAGTGAGACCTGCCTCTACAAAAAATAAAAAAATTAGTTGGCAAGGTGGCATATGCCTATAGTCCCAGCTACTTGGGAGGCTGGGGCAGAAGGATCGCTTGAGGCCAGGAATTTGAAGTTACAGTGAGCCATGATCATGACACTGCACTCCAGCCTGGGCAACAGAGTGAGACCCTGTGTCTAAATCAATCAATCTTGGTTAAATAAAATTATAGTATATTATGGAATTTAAAGAGATACTATGTAGCCATTAAATAGATTTCTTTATTAACTGATATGGAATATCTTTATGAAGTAATGTTAGTGATAAAAGGAAGGTATTAAATTGTGTTTACCATTTGTGTAAAACTGGGGAAAAATAAATACATATTAATTTGGTTTCTTTTTTTGTTTGTTTTTGAGACAGAGTCTCACTCTGTCGTCTAGGCTGGAGTGCGGTGGTGCAATCTCAGCTCACTGCAACCTTTGCCACCTGGGTTCAAGCGATTCTCCTGCCTCAGCTACCTGAGTAGCTGGGATTACAGGCACGCGCCACCACACCTGGCTAATTTTTGTATTTTTAGTAGAGATGGGGTTTCACCATGTTGGTCAGGTTGGTCTCGAACTCCTGGCCTTGTGATCCTCCTGCCTCAGCCTCCCAAAGTGCTGAGATCACAGGCATGAGATACCGCGCCCGGCCATTAATTTGTTTATATACAAAATAACCTCTGGATGGATAAATAAGAATGTTGCCTCTGGGGAGGGTCACATAGATATGGGTTTAAGAAGGAGACTTTTTATTACATACCTTTTTATGCCTTTGAATTTTGATTAATGTGAATGTGTTAGCCAATCATAAAACTGGTAAAAGAGCAAGTCCCTTACATGAAGAAAAACTGCATGTAATCCCAAACCTTTAACAGTGTTAAACATATTTTTCTATTTTATATGAGTCTTCTGTTCAAATCTATCTTTTTTGCAGTGGTGTGATATTGGCTCACTGCAACCTCCGCCTCACGGGCTCCAGTGATCCTCCTACCTCAGCCATTGGAGTAGCTGGGACTACAGGTAAGCGCCACCATGCCTGGATAATTTTCGTATTTTTTTTTTTGTAGAGATGGGTTTCACTGCATTGCTCAGGCTGGTCTTGAACTCATGGGCTCAAGCAATCCACTGGCCTCACCCTCCCAAACTGCTGGGATTACAGGCATGAGCCACCACACCCGGACCTCAAATTTTTTTCTAAACAGACAATATAATGCCTCACGATGCAAATGCACATATTGTAAGCATGTTGGAGAACAAACCAAAGGTAATGTTAAGAAAACACAGGATGAGATTTTGGGAGAATTTAACCTAAAAAAGCATATCTCATCTGCCTGAGGCTTCCAGTAATAGTAAACTGTTAAATTATCTCAATAGATTAGTAGTCAGAGTTTTAAAAAGCCACGTAATTTTTTTTTTTTTGAGATGGAGTTTTGCTCTTGTTGCCCAGGCTGTAGTGCAACGGCGTGATCTAGGCTCACCTCAACCTCCCACCTTCCAGGTTTAAGTGATTCTCCTGCCTCAGCCTCCTGAGTAGCTGGGATTACAGGCAAGTGCCACCACACTGGGCTAATTTTGTATTTTTAGTAGAGACAGGGTTTCTCCATGTTGGTCAGGCTGGTCTCGAACTCCTGACCTCAGGTGATCCACCTGCCTCGGCCTCCCAAAGTGCTGGGATTACAGGCGTGAGCCACCGCGCCCGGCAAAAGCAATGTAATTTCTTAATCTTTCTCCTTGTTGCCATCTAGAAATAACTCAAATGCAAAAGGCTTTGAGGCACTTAAAGTTTAATAACAAGGGTATAGCTAATCTATAGGAGACAATTTATCCTAAGTTTTTTGAGGAACAATAATCATAAATAATAATTGGCTTTTTCTTACCACTAAGTAAGAACATAAACATTTAAGTACTTGAAAATTTCTTCATAAAAATGGTGTTTACTTTTTCTCAAGTGTTGATCATAGACTCTTAGGAGGGATAATAGAGAACATCTAATTCAATCTCTTATCAAATGCAGAAATTCCTTCTCTAGCAATGCAAAGAAAAGATTCACTTTCCAGGGCCTGAATAAGAGAGCCAATTTATGTTTAATGCCATATAACATTTCTTCTGTGTTTTTGCCTTTTACCAACCAATAAATATTTATGAGGGCCCACCAAATATATGACGAGATAAGACATGGTTTTTGTCTTTAGCATAGTAAGAATATTTTGCCTTTGATAAATCAAGGCCCCCAAACAGTAAATGTAATCTAGTATATTACTGGGGCCTACATTTAGTGGTTCAGATGAAGTGCTGGGGAAAATCAGAGAAAGGAACGGGTGCTTAGAAGTCAGGGAGAACTTGATGTTGTAAGGTGCAACTCCTAGGACAGCTAGTAGAAGAACCATTGCTTACTCACCTCTGTATTCCTAGCACCTACTATATTTGTTGCATGAATGGGCCAATTCATGCTTCAATAACCTTTATCTTCACTATGACAATGTTGACCATACAATCTTCCTTTTTCTCTTCCAACTACTTTTGAAATCAGTTTAATTCAAAGACAGTCAGTGTGAATAATTACAGTCTTCAGGGCCCTTTTCACTGTGTTTCCACCTCCACAGGCCACTTGAACCCTCAAAATAAGCAGGTGTTGGTCCACAAGTTTATGATTCTAAACTTACTGTCTAATTTTTAGCAAACTGTACTTTTTATATAATTTCATCCTGTCACCACCCACTGACTGAAAATGTGACTTAGAAAAGGTATAAAATATCCAAATATTAATATATTAGAGAAATTAGGAATTGCTGCAAGCAGCATAGTATTGTGGGAAGAACAAAGACTATGGAGTCGAACAAATCTGATTTTGTAAATTAGCTGTTTCTTTGGATAACTTAAGGGCCTCAGCTTTCTCATCTATAAAATGAAGATAATAATACCTACTTTTGGAATTGGTCTGTGGATTAATAAATTCTACTTGTTTTTCTTTCTTTTTGTGTGCTTCAGAGTCAAAATTGGTTTTTCCACCCCCATCTCTCCAAATTAAAGGTATGGTGAAATGTTTCCTAAAATAAGTTATAGCACCAATCTCAGACTCAGATCACTAAACAGGAAGTTATTCTTTACACCATGCTTGCCACTGTATTATACTGCTGCATAACTTCTAGAATATGCACCAACATCATTGTAAGATAACGTCCTACTCAGAGCAGAGATTTAAAGTATATGTATCTCTACTTTAAATCTATCTATATATTTAACGTTGTCATGTTCCCTAAATTTTCTAGCTGCCAAATTTAGAGACTTTGTTTTTTGTTTTGGATTTCTTTTAAAGGGGTGGGGTCTCACTCTGTTGCCCAGGCTGGAGTGCAGTGGCATGATCATAGCTCACGGAAGGCTTGAACTCCTGGGCTCAAGCGATCCTTCTGCCTCAGCCTCCCGAGTAGCTGGGACTACAGGCATGCACCACCATGCCCAGCTAAGTTTTAAAAAAACAAAATTTAAGGCTGGGCATGGTGGCTCACGACTGTACTCCCAGCACTTTGGGAGGCTGAGGTGGGCGGACCACGAGGTCAGTTCAAGACCAGCCTGGCCAACAAGGTGAAACCCCGTCTCTACTGAAAATACAAAAAGTAGCTGGGCGTGGTAGTGGGCACCTGTAATCCCAGCTACTCGGGAGGCTGAGACAGGAGAATTGCTTGAACCGGGGAGGTGGGGGTTGCAGTGAGCTGAGATCCCACCACTGCACTTCAGCCTAGGTGACACAGAGAGACTCCATCTCAAAAAACAAAAACAAAAACAAAAAAATTAAGAGA
Organism: Homo sapiens; assembly: GCF_000001405.40. Lineage (NCBI taxonomy): Eukaryota > Metazoa > Chordata > Mammalia > Primates > Hominidae > Homo > Homo sapiens. The sequence goes on from NC_000001.11 coordinate 50,549,809, forward strand.
CACAGACTTGCTATATTGCCCAGGCTGATCACAAACTCCTGGGCTCAATCGATCCTTCTAAGTAACTGGGATTACAGGCATGAGCCACTGTGCACAGCCAAATTTGGACACTTTGTGATTTTTATCATTATATAAAATGTTTCAGCATCATTTATTTCAGGGTTGGTTGGTTTCTCTTGGAACTTTGACATTTACACATAATGTCCTCATGTATTTGAAAACAACTATCACCCTAATGGATATAAAAATGTGGGAGTGCATGGCTGGGCACCGTAGCTCACGCCTGTAATCCCAGCACTTTGGGAGGCCAAGGCAGGCAGACCACGAGGTCAGGAGATCAAGCCCATCCTGGCTAACATGGTGAAACCCCTCTCTACTAAAAATACAAAAAAATTAGCCGGGCATGGTGGCAGGCACCTGTAGTCCCAGCTACTTGGGAGGCTGAGGCAGGAGAATGGCGTGAACCCAGGAGGCAGAGCTTGCAGTGAATCGAGATCGCGCCCCTGCACTCCAGCCTGGGCGACAGAGTGAGACTCCGTCTTTAAAAAAAAAAAAAAAAAAAAAAAAAGTGGGAGTGCTTCAGTTGCAATCTCACCCACAGGAGGAAAGTCTTTAACAGATAAGTGACCAGGAAAACAGAATATTGGCATCTTAGTCACTCATCAAAGCTTTCAAGCAAGAGCTGATTGTAACCCAGCACTTATTAAGCTCAATTCAGACAGCTGATGTTTAACACAAAGAGCTGAATAGACAGGTTGACTGTGTAGGCTCTTCCTCTAAACTTTATACCTGTTATGAGTTAGGTAATCATAAAGGAGTATTTAAGGACCACATCACCTAAACTCCCTAAAGAATTATCATTACTGAAAAAAAGATTAAATACAAAGCCCTCTGCTTTTACAGGGGATTTATATTTTAAAAAACTATTTAAAATAATCTGTCTTCTGCAAAACAACAGTAGAAGTTTATTGTCTATTACTTTTCCTAAGGACTCTCAAATAAAATCATGCAACAAAACTCTCCCTTGACTTCAGTGTCAGGAAATCTTGAGAAGAACTATTATGATTCCATATGTCAGAAAATGAGAACTGTAAATGGTAAAATGTAAATGCTCTCAGGTGTGTGATCTGGCATATAAGAGAAATACAATAGATACATATGGAATGGACAGATGAATAAATGATTATATGCCTATGACATGTCCTTTCTCTCCTTTATCTGCTGGAATTCTACAGCTAAACTTCAACTCAGGTGCTTATAAATATTCATATCTATTTGCTACTTTTAATTGGTTTTCATCCAATTTTATTTTTTATTTTCCTATTTTATATTGTATGTACAGAGATTATGAGATTACGTATAGCTATTATGTCAATTTTTTAAAGGAGGCAAACTGTAAATGCTAAATGGAAAAAAAACCCAGACATATATACAGAGGGAAAATAAGAGGAGCAAGAATGTTTTCCCAATTCAAGCACAGTATATGGTACACAGTTTAATGGTATATAGTACACAGTATATGGTACACATATGGTACACAGCTTAATGAATACTTTTTTGGATAAAGAAATGAATAGATGGTAGAATGAATGAGACAGTAAAAAGCTAAAATTAATGATAATGAAGTAACTATCATGAGGAATCTGTGTCCCTAAAAACATGTAAATACCATGATTTTAAAATGTACAGACCAGTAAACTTGCTCACAATACCCACAAAACTTTAAAAAGTCACTTAGAAAGATGGTTTATGAACAATTAGAATACAGTAGCGATGAATGGCAGGCAGCATAGGCCCTTAAGAACATACTATTCCCAAAACTAACTGTGAGTTTCCTAGACTAAGAATGCATCAGCATTCCATAAATTTTGACTATCTGGATTTCAGTAAGGCATATAATAAGGTGTTCCAAAAGATCCTTTAGATAAGATTCAGAAATACAGGCTAAGGTAGACAATTCATTTGTCATCAGGAAATTCAATCTGTAGAATGCTACCAAATTGAGAGTAGTCTCAAATAGTTTACTAGCTGGCTTTGTCCTGTTAACATTTTCATAAATATCTGAGACAAATAAAATACTTACATGTAGATAAATGCACTGAGCACTTACTCTGTACCAGACTTTAAAATCAATCATCCCATTTAGTTCTAATAACTCTCTGATGAATGTAGTTTTATCTCCATTTCATGGTACGAAAACTGCAGGCCAGGTGCGGTGGCTCATGCTCATAATCCCAGCACTTTGAGTTGCCAAGGCGGGCGGATCACCTGAGGTCAGGAGTCCGAGACCAGCCTGGCCAACATGATGAAACCCTGTCTCTACTAAAAATACAAAAAAACTAGCCAGGCATGGTAGTGTGCGTTTGTAGTCCCAGCTACTCAGGAGGTTGAGGCAGGAGAATAGCTTGAACCCGGGAGGTGGAGGTTGCAGTGAGCTGAGATTGTGCCACTGCACTCCAGACTGGGCAACAGAGTGAGACTCTGTTTCCAAAAAAAAAAAAAAAAACTTCAGCTAGAGGGTTTAAGCAACTCACCCACCACAGTCACTATGGTGGCCTAGTGGCATAGCTAGAATTCCAATCGTGGTCTGAATAAATCCAAAGCTCATTCATATTCTTAATCATCATGATGCTCTGAATTCTTATAACATCAACAAATAATTATTTAGCATTTTAATAGGAAACAAAAGTGGAAAAGATTGATATAACTCTTATCCTTATAAAGCTTATATTCATTGGAAGAAATAGAAAATAAATGTTAAAGTAAGCAAAAGTAATGGCTTATTATGGAAAGTTCTATGAAAGTGCTATGAAAAAGAATGATGGTGAAGCCTTCTCTAGAAAGGTTCATCAGACCTTTCTGAAGGAATATATAGACAGGATAGAAAAATGGGCTCATTTCTGTCTTTCTGATAACTTCTTTTATTCTCAAGCAACTAGTGGGGGCAGCTGGGAGGGGAGGTAGAGAGGGGAATGATATATTTGGGGAATGAAGAGTAGTATGAAATAGATATCTCAGTTAGGCAAAGAAAACTAACTAGAGAATCCCAAATCCCAGTAGGCTTGCCCAGCATTATTGTGTGCTTATTTGAAGCTTGTGTTTATTTAAAAGAGAGAGAGAAAAAAGAGAAGAGAAAAGACAGTGTGATTTTCTCTAGCTGTGTTCAACTGCAAGGGTACAGGCATACAGAAGGTGAACAGGCGGGTCTAACAAAATGAGTGTAACAGAGAGAGTTTAAAGTATCACAAGGAAATTACAACGATGAACCTCAAAATCTAAACAGGATGAGGAATATGAAAACTGGATATAGGAAAGGGTAGATGGGGTGAGAGAAAGGTCAATAGATTGGAAGGCATGAGGAGATAAAAAAATCTTTAAGACCAGTGATACTTGAACAAATAAATAGGAGTGGTAGGAAGTGGTGATCAGAGCCAGATGTTTGAAATCAAAATATATGAGGCAATATAGTTTCTATTAGTGACCCCATCTAAATGTGGTAAATACAGAGAAGAAGAAAAATTTTCTGGAGAACATGTCTAGGAACCGAGAGGATTATCAAGAATGATGACAGGAGTAGAGATGATAAGGACTTAAGACTCATTTGTGGGTGATAAAACTTGTGAAGGTCAATAGACAGAATCTGAACCCCAAATGATCTTGTCAATCAACTGCATTAGTAAAGAATGGCAGAAATCTGGTTTAGCATCAACTCAAGCTGGAAAACAATGGGGTTTTAGATGATTCCCTGAGTTCAACAGAAGCCCACAATAAAATTTCAGATAGAACTGTGCACAGCACCAGACAAACCTCCTCTAGAGCACTATGCTTGATCCCGGCACCTTTAGAAGGGGCTGGGTCTAGACACACTATCATATGAAGAACAGTGAAAAGAACTAATTATATTTGGTAGGAAGAGGCAGGGAAAATAGGAAAAATGAGAACTAGAGTTACATTGATAAAAGGTTATAATGCTATAGAGAAGTTAGGCTTATATCAGGTAACTGCAAAACCAGAACCAAAAAGGATAAAGTTGAGGAAGCTCTCTATAGAAGAAGCATTGTAGTAAAGACATTTCCAGTTTTCAGAGCAGCTAAAAAAAAAAGCTATCTTTTGAAGCTTTCATTTCCCTGTCTTGGCAATATTCAAGCACAGGCTGGAGCAACATCAGCTAAGCATGTTATAGAAAAAAAGGCCTGGGTGGCTGCAAGTTGTACTGCTAAGGACACGTCTAATCCCTAACTCTAAGACTGGGTGAATTTCACGTTTATTTGTTCCTTGAACAAAAGGTCCATGGACTTCCCTTATACCTCCTGCAGGACTTTGCACACTAGATAATTATCTAGTACATTTTTGTTGCTGAATCATTCAGCATGGCAAGATCATGGGAAAAAAAGCATTATGTGGTAGAAAAGCACAGGTAGCATTGGGATTTATAGCTGGTATAGCCATTGCAATGACCTCACAGAACCTCTCTGAGCCACAAATAGTTTCCTCACATGTGAAATGGGATCTTGCTATTTACCCTGCAGAATTGTGGAAAAGATTAAATGAGGTAAATATATATATATATATATATATATATAGAGAGAGAGAGAGAGAGAGAGAGAGTCTTAAATTAGCACATTTATATAGTGTCTGGCACTATAATTAATTAAGTAGGTACTTAATTAATGGTTGTAGTTGTCATCATGTAGTTTGGCTTCTTAAAAAGCCGTACTATAGTCTTGCTCTTAGCTACTAATATACTTTTAACAGATATTCCTTGTTACAAAACGAAAGAGGAAGAAAATTACTGTCGTCTTCTTCACTACACCCCACTAAAATCACTCTGATCAGATTATTACAAACTGGAAAGGGTAGCATGCTTATGTTATAATCTGATATATCAAACCTCACCAAAATTTATTTTAAAAATGAACCCTTGCTTACCTCACATTTTTCTACTGAAAACAACTGTATCCAAGTCAGAATATTACAGACAAAGGTCTCAGGTCAAATAGGTGAGTCACTCTCTTTTCATAGATGAAAAAGAAAGATCTAGAAATGTTATACTACTTGTCTAATATCATCTTGTTTTTCGTATTTCCAGCCTGACTGAGCCTTACTTCTCAATTGCTCTACATTCTATGATGATTGACATCTGTCTGTCTGCACAAACAATGAGAAAACAGTTGTAATGAAAAATTGTGGTTTCTATGAGCCCAGGAGACCAGCCTGAGCAACATGGTGAAACCCCTGTCTCTACAAAAAAAAAATAATAATAGCTGGGCATGGCGGCATGAGCCTGTAGTCCCAGCTACTTCAGTCAGGAGGCTGAAGTGAGAGGATCACTTGAGCCCAGGTGGTCGAGGCTGCAGTGAGTCAAGATCGTGCCACTGCATTCCAGCCCAGGTGACAGAGCGAGACACACACACACATACACACACACCAGGACCCTGACACACACACACACACACCCCAGGACTCTGACACACACACACACACACCCCCCAAAATAAAACCCAAAGCTTCTAAAAAGCTTCTGCATAGCAAAAGAATGGGAGAAAATACATCCGACAAAGGATTACTATCAAGAATCTACAAGGAACTCAAACAAATCAGCCAGAAAAAAACAAATAATCCCATTAAAAAGTGGGGAAACAACATGAACAGACATTTTTCAAAAGAAGATGTACAAATGGCCAACAAACATGAAATAATGCTCAATATCACTAATCATCAGGGAAATGCAAATTAAAACCACGAGATACCACCTTACACCAGTAAGAACAGCAGAACAGCCATTATTAAAAAGTCAAAAACTAATAGATGTTGACACAGATGCAGTAAAAAGGAACTCTTATACACTGTTGGTGGGAATGTAAATTAGTACAACCTCTATGAAAAACAGTATTCAGATTCCTCCAAGAACTAAAAGTAGATCTACCATTTGATTCAGCAATCCCACTACTGAGTACCCAAAGGAAAAAAAGTCATTATATCAAAAAGATACCTGCATGCATATGTTTATTGCAGCACAATTCACAATGGCAAAGATAGGGAATCAACTTCAAGTACCCATTAACCAATGAGTGGATAAAGAAAATGTGGTACGTATACATATATATATATAAAATTAGGTGTGTGTATATATACATGGTGTATATATATGGTATGTGTATATATTATATATATGGTGTGTATATATATGGTGTGTGTATATATAATAGAATACAACTCAGCTATAAAAAAGAATAAGGTCTTCAATGAAACCCCGTCTCCACTAAAAATACACAAAAAATTAGCTGGGCTTGGTGGCGGGCGCCTGTAGTCCCAGCTACTCGGGAGGCTGAGGCAGGAGACTGGCGTGAACCCAGGAGGCGGAGCTTGCAGTGAGCCAAGATCGCGCCACTGCACTCCAGCCTGGGCGAAAGAGCGAGACTCCATCTCCAAAAAAAAAAAAAAAAAAAAAAGAATAAGGTCTTCTGCAACAACCTGGATGAAACTGGAGGTCATCATGTTCTCACTTAGAAGTGGAAGCTAACTATGGTTATGCAGGGGCCTATAGAGAGGTATAAGGGACACTGAAGACTCAGAAGGGGGAAAATAGGAAGGAGGTAAGGAATGAAAAATTACCTATTGGGTACAATGTACACTACTTGAAAGACGGGTATGCTAAAAACTCAGATTTCACCACTATACAGTTCATCCATGTAACTAAAAACCACTTGTACCCCTAAATCTATTGAAATTTAAAAAGAAAATTGGCCAGGCAGAGTGGCTTATGCCTGTAATCCCAGCACTTTGGGAGGCTGAGGTGGACAGATTGCATGAGCTCAGGAATTTGAGACCAGCCTTGGCAACATGGTGAGACCCCGTGTCTACAAAAAGATACAAAAATTAGCTGGATGTAGTGGTGTGCACCTGTAGTCCCAGCTACTTGGGAGGCTGAGGTGGGAGGACTGCTTGAGCCTAGCAGGTTGAGGCTGCAGTAAGTTGAAACTGTGCCACTGCATTCCAGCCTGGGCACCAGAGCAAGACCCCTGTCTCAAACATAAAATAAAATAATATAAAATAAAATAAAATAAAATAAATAAAATAAAATAGAAAATCAGTTTTCTTTAAGAACAGCAACTGACACATTTTAATGTGTACAAGTCTGCTTCAAGAACTAACAAGTTAATACATAGCTTTCCTAATAGCCACATAATAAAATTTGTTGCTGAGACAGTAAATTATTTGAGAGCTGCTCAGAGAATCCAGTAGCTCATTTATTACTGGGACTAGGCTATGTAATTTCTCAGATTTGAGGTATGGCAATCAAGGCTTTTTAATTTTTCACATAACCTTGCCTCATTCCTTCCTTAGCTGAGGTGTGTAGAAAACTATTTGCTGAAAAGGACTTTCTTGGTGCTGATCATGTATTGAGGGGAAGAAAAGCACATGAAAGCAATCTATTTAGGATTCTTAAATTGTTGCTGTAGCTACAGACTGAGTTAGCCAACAGTAGATAAACTGTCAAACAGCTTTTAAAAAGTCTTTAGAGTTAACTCTGTTTTGAATAATACAAAACTATCTGTCACTCCTCTATTACCCTAATGCTATTAAGTAGAGAGACACAAACATATGCTTAAGGAAAGGACACCCAATCTATTCTTTAATAATTACCTGAACACATCAGAAACAGGATTCCACCTTACTCTCCAATTCCAGACTAACAGAAACTTTGCTTTTTTTGGTGGTATATTTGGCAGATTAGAACATTAAGATTGTTGGGCTTTAAAATATCTTTTAGCATCTATGCAGACTGACAAGCAAACACTGTAAAATATGTCAGAGGAACCAAATTACTTATATCACTGAACTAACATGTTTCTTTTATAATTTCTCTGACTGTTTTACTATCAGTGTTTATAGAAGAGGAGAAATGTGCTACCAATTTCAATGGCATAGGTGATATTATTTAGTAAAAGGTCTGCCGAAATATCATCAATATAAAAATTATTAATGAGAGCAGTTAAGGAAACAAATCTTTTCAGACCTTTTTAATTTCAGGCAAGAAGAAAAGCAAAATACACGATGGCATATATATATTTAAGATATTTCACTTTATAAATATCTTATTTATTTATTTATTTATTTAGATACAGGGTCTTGCTCTGTTGCCCAGGCTGGAGTGCAGTGGTGCAATCTCGGCTCACTGCAACCTCTGGCTCCTGGGCTCAAGCAGCCTCCCAAGTAGCTGGGACTACAGGCATGTGCCACCATGCCAGGCTAGTTTTTGTATTTTTAGTACAGACAGGGTTTCACTATGTTGGCCAGGCTGGTCTTGAACTCCTTGCCTTAAGTGATCCACCTGCCTCAGACTCCCAAAGCACTGGGGTTACAGGTGTGAGCCGCCGCATCCAGCCTAAATATCTTATTTTTAGAATAAGATATTTATCTTATTTTTAGAATAAGATATTTATCTTATTTTTGGAATGTGTCATTAGATTACTCATGTTTTATATCAATATAAAAACTGTATGTTCTAAAATACAAGCATAACCAGCTATTGGGAGTAACTATTTGCATATAACTATACATGAGTACACTGGTGGGGTCGGGGGACGGGTTACAGAATGGGGAAGGATTCAGCAACAGATCACAAACAGGGAAAGGTTTGGAATTAACCTCAAACTTCATCTTGAGACAGTGATGATTCTTTTAATTCTGTGACTCTCATAATCAAGATACCTAGAATATTCAAAAAATATTCAAAACACAGAGTAATTGGGAGATGACCAAGGAGAACACCAACAGACTTATAAGAAAGATCTAGTGCATGAGAAAAATAGAATGTGATAGAAACTTAAAATGTTATTCTTTTGGAATGGCTTGCCAATAATATCACCTTTGTATCTTAGCTTCTAACAACAGTTTTCATAGGCTATTTATTGACAACTGTATCTGAGTTAAATGCATATTTCCTGAATAGCATTAATTAGATTAGTGCAGAGGAAAATGAGCTCTTTTTTAAAAACAAATGCTTTGATTCAAATACGATGCATGTGCAACCAGGCAGTTATAACTGTAGTACTAGGTAGGAGTGTAGGAAGTATCCAAATCAGAGTAAAAAAGGCTCGTAAATTGGTAATTTTAAATTATCTCAAAGAACATTTTTAAAAGGATAATCTATTTTGGCCGGACGAGGAGGCTCATGCCTGTAATCCCAGCACTTTGAGAGGCCAATGCAGGTGGATCACCTGAGGTCAGGGGTTCGAGATCAGCCCGACCTACAAGGTGAAACCCCATCTCTACTAAAAATACAAAAATTAGCCAGGCATGGTGGCAAGCGCCTGTAGCCCCAGCTACTTGGGAGGCTAAGACAGGAGAATTGCTTGAACCCAGGAGGTGGAGTTTGCAGTGAGCCAAGATCACACCAATGCACTCCAGCCTAGGCAACAGAGCGAGACTCCGTCTCAAAAAAAAAAAAAAGGATAATCTGTTTTAAGAATGTTGAATGTACTATAAACAGTTTAGCCATCAACTATATAGAGACTGACTTATTCTCAATTGTAAGAGGCCATCACTTTTATCCATTCTCCCTTTCCTTTTTTCCTTTCAGTACTATTAGGAAACTATTCACAAGTGTACCCTTGGACAATGCTGAGCAGTAATTATGACTTGCTGACAAAGAGATATGAACAATTACTGAGCCCATTTTGAAACCCTACACTAATAAAGTCATTAGATGCTGCCCTTGCCATGATCCCTCTAAAAGCTTCTGAAGTTACAAGAACACACGGCATTGTTTGCAGGGACAATTGCTGCTGGCAGAACGCAAACCTTGAGTTAAACCATGCTGCAAATTGATCTTGACATTCTGTTAAGACCGCCACTAAAAATCAAAAGCAGAAGAGAAAAGGAGAAAATGAGTGGGTAGGATGTAATCATGGAACAGGAGGGGTTCCTCCTCACCTTCTCTCCTCCCTCTTCACAAAACAAACCAGGGAGAAAATGACAAACTCTCCTGGTGTTTTGGAACCTTCATTTTAAAGCATTAATTAAGCCCTTGACCTGGGATGTTTAGGATGGCAATACACTTCCTTTAAAAGTACTGGAAGGAAAATGTTGCATAAAGGGAATAAAGAAGTTTGGAGAAAATTATATGGAAATCTGGCACGAAGGCTCTCCTGAAGTCTTAGTACCCTGACCACAACATGTTCATCTGTTTTATCAGCTACCTCTGCAGAATCCATATTTGTACCTAGGGTAGCAGCTGGAAATTAATACTCCTGTGTCTCCCATGCAGACTCCACACCTGAGCTATATTTGCCAGATCAAATGGAAGTGTAGGGTTAGAGTAACATGGTCAGCAAGGCTTCAGCCAGGCATGAACCACTGAGTAGTTTGGAATTAAGGGTAAGCCACTGTGAATATGGCTAATTACTGAGATGGAAAGTACATGTGAAGACAGCTTACTGATAATAAGTGCTTTAAGTCAATTAACTCTTGCCAAAGATTAAGTAATGTGGAAAACTATCACTTGAATATTAAGCCTAACAAGTACCTGTCAGCACAGCAGCGGAAGTTTGCAGTGACCTGAAATACCACACCCAAGGGCATTAAGTTCAAAAGCTAATACTGACAGGCACAGAATTCTGTCTGTGAATATTGGTATTAAATGTGTGTACAAAATTTAATACAATGCTATGTGTATGTTACAAGCAACCTGTGTAACCCAAGCACTATTGGCAACTCCTGGGGAACTGTTTACAGCTACTATGAACACTGCTTAGAAATAGTGTGCAATGCCTGATTTAACACTTAGTAGCATGTACACTGATGTGCAAAACATTTTCATCTCAGGTACTTACATAAGCAATTCATTTTCCAGCACTCATAGCCAGCTGATTACCCAGTTGGCACTATTCCAGTCAAATTCAATGTTTGATTCTAAGTGTTCTAGAATTAGATAATCTAAACCAGCACCTATATTTGCTTTGTGGACCCTCCTATTCAGAACAAGAGATACCCACTAACCCACTTATTACTGGTTAATACTGGTGGTTCATTGTGTCACATATGTGATGTAGCTTTCCTTGATGAAGCAACTTCAGCTAAGAATCCACAGCTCAGCCTGGAGGGCACAGCCTTTATAGAGGGAAACAGATTAATACTTACTATGCTGGTGCTTTACATAGTACTATTTATGGTTAATTCTGATGGTGTTCTAATAGAACATGCCTGAATGCTTGGTCTCTTCCACCGTGTAGCCACTCTAGCACTCCGGGCCTGGGACATGTTGAATCAGTTCTCCCACCATTGTAGAAGGTTCAGTACCATCCCAGAATGGCCCAATTTGGGAGGCCAATTACTTCTGGGGTATCACAGAGGTTTGGTGAAGTCTGGGGAAGAAACTCTAGAACCAGGATGAACTCATCTGGGTTGGAATTCAAGCCACTTTCCAGATGGCCTGGGAGCACCTGAGGCATATGAGCGTACACCATGACATTCTGGGACCCTACAATGCCAGCAGAAGATCAAGTATCCAGTCTGAACATTTTTAGTTCATTCTGTAAGGAGAATGAAGGCTTTAGTACCATATATTAGTACCATTAGTGGCTACAGGGGAAGATCACACAATTAGAGGAATGTAGCTGTATTTCCAATATTCTTGCCATTACTCAAACTGGTACTCTCTTGCTATTTTTCAATAAGCCTATTAGAGATGATTTATTATCAATATAGTACTTACTCTTTAAAAGGTAGTTGTGGCCGGGCGCAGGGGCTCATGCCTGTAATCCCAGCACTTTGGGAGGCTGAGGCAGGTGGATCATGAGGTCAGGAGTTTTAGACCAGCCTGGCCAATATGGTGAAACCCCATCTCTACCAAAAATACAAAAATTAGCCAGGCGTGGTGGCACACACCTGTAGTTCCAGCTACTCGGGAGGCTGAGGCAGAAGAATCACTTGAACCTGGGAGGTGGAGGTTGCAGTGAGCTGGATTGCGCCACCGCACTCCAGCCTGGGTGACAGAGCGAGACGCCATCTAGGACAGACGGATGGACGGATGGACGGAAGGAAGGAAGGAAGGAAGGAAGGAAGGAAGGAAGGAAGGAAGGAAGTTGTGTAAACCAATGGGATTACAGACATAGCTCCCTCAGGGAGCTGACAACCTAGCAGGGAGATAGACAATGACCATACAATGTAATGAGTGCTATTAGTACAAGTTAGTACAGATATATTATGGGAGCATACAGAATATGCATTTTAACCCTGACTGAGGCAAGAGAAGGATGGGGAGAGGCAAGACTTCCCAGAAGTGATACCTGTCCTGAATTTTAAGAAATTATTCTTTCATAGCTAAGCACTCATTCATTAAGAATACATTGTACTAACAATATTTTTATTAGTTAAATCTATGATGGTTTTCTACATGTTACATATCCAAAAGAATATCTTATCCCTGCTTCACTGTCTGCCTGTAGACATATGCCAATGCTGGATGAATCATTAACAAAACATCTTCTTTGGATTTGTCCATGTTGGCTGGTTGACTTTAATTCTCAATCTGGTTCAGATTATAGAGGATTATATTAGCTAGCCAGCTCCCTCTATTCCTTCTCTCCTCAATTATTTCAACCACTGACCCTTTGTTCCCCATACGTAATTATGAGGCTTTAAACACCAATGCCCTTTAGTAAAGAAGAGCAAAATCTGCCACCCAAAAGACTAGGAATGCTACTATGGTAATATAAAAATCTCTAAATAGAAAGAGTAAAGTTCTAACTTCATCTTTATGTGTATCATCTCTTTCAAGTCCCTCTTTGACCCCCTTGGGTACAGCAACTCTGTATAAAGTTCATCTATACTCCTAAAGTACCTTGTACATACCTCATATTATATATTAGCTCTTATGTCTGTTTTGCCTACTAGACTATATGTGTTTTGAGGGTTAGGATTGTGTCTTGTTCCACCTTTCATTCTCAGATGACAGCACCATTCCTGGTTCATATTAAATATTCAGTGTTTACTCAATGAACAAACATAAGAAACACAGTTGGTCTTCTGCATCTGTGGGTTCTGCATCTGTGGGTTCTGCATCTGTTGATTCAACTAGCCAAGTATCAAAAATATTCAGAAAAAAATTGTGTCTATACTGAACATGTACACTTTTTCCTTGTCATTTTACCTAAACAATACAGTATAACAACTATTTACATAGCACTTACATTGTATTAGGTATTATAAGTAATCTAGAGACGACTCAAAGTAGATGGGAGGATGTGCATGGGTTATATGTAAATACTATGCCATTTTCTATCAGGGACTTGAGTATCTGTGGATTTTGGTATCTGCAGGAGGTCCTGGAACCAATCCTGCATAACTATGAAGTGATTTGCAAGATCTTCTTGTTTACTATTACCTATCTGTTTTTAGCTCTTTCTTTTACAGGTACATCCTACTATTTCCATCAGAACTACTGGTCAAACCAATATTTAAGAAATTAGAACGGGGCATGGTGTCACACACCTGTAGTCCCAGCTACTCAGAAGGCTGAGACAGGATGATTGCTTGAGGCCAGGAGTTTCAGGCTGCAGTGCACTATGATTACACACTCCAGCCAGGGCAACATAACGAGACCTTGTCTCTTAAAAAAAAAAAAAGAAATTATACCTTTAGCACTTCTCAAGACTACCAAGGGCTTCCTGTCACTGTTTTAAGAATGGCTCTGAAATCCAACTAGATAAGGTGGCCCAAAAGACTGTACAATATTTTCCAAGGAAAAAACCTCCAATTTAGATATGCAATATTGAAATTATAAGCAACATTCTTGGATGGAAATAAATGCATACATTCATTTGCTAAATGCTTTCTGGGTTTCTTTTTCCTAGAATTTAAAAAAGTGCCTTGTTTACTGAAACCAACAAAATGAATAAGCTCTTCAGGAGATCACAATTTAGCAGGGGAGATGACAGACATTAATCATTACAGCTAAAGTTTCATGTCTCAGTTCATATTTGGAATGTTCTAAGATCAACCTAAGAATTATTCCAACATATTTTGTACACAGTGGGCTGGAAAATCTAAGTATTCCACTAAGAAAGAAGGTTATTAGAATCATTTAAGAGGTGTAAAAATCCAAATCATCAACATCACAGGGGTTATGACATTCTATAGAAATGTTTCTTTTCTTATTCCAATTTGTTAGAGAAATTAGGAAATTTAATTTATAATAGCAAGTGATACTCATATTCTGGTGACTTCATCAAAGCATTCACTTAGTTTAATATCCTTCACTTATCTCCTACATACATGAGAGATCCACAGTATACTGTGATTGAAGAACTAATGCCTCTATAGGCTTAGTCAGAGTAATCCTTAAGCAAAAGTATATCTGCTTGGCAAGTCTCTTCCCATATTGGATATCAACATCCTCAGCTATAATATCAGATGGTAGTCCTAGGAAACCACTACAAAAACATCCAAATGGCTTACAGGTCCAGGACTCTCTAAATTTTTATGGCCTGTCTGAACTAGGTTAACCAGATATGGGACGAGGCAAGCTATTAACCAGGAATTTATTTCCAAACTTACATCTATCATAAAGAAATAACAGTTAAAAGGAAGCCCAAAACAACAATCTTACTTGTGATGCCTAGAAATCTCTTCTGTATTTCCATATATTAATATGTCCCCATTTCAGCTTGCTAATCATATGCAAATGATGTCATAACACCTTTTGACATGTACCCCATGGATCAATAAATATTAGTGCAAGCAGTCGTCTACTGAATTGAGAGTGAAAGCTTGAGGTTTTGTTACTCAAAGTTAAAAGCATCTAATGAGTGATGCAATCAGTTTTCATGATAAACACCTCTGGATAAATGTGGTGTAAAAATCCAAGAAAGATAATACAGTAGGAAACCCAATTAGACAATTTTATTTAGATGAATCTGTGATATGATAGGTGGCAAGAAAATTGTGGTTAAGTTAAACCCTTTTTTTAAGCAATAAACCAGCCTAATTAATTATCTTACAGTTTCATATGTCAAAGTCAATCCCCTTTTTGGGAATATGTCATTCTAATGAATTTTCACCTTGTGTTTATAAAATGTGTATTTTCCCATTTGCCTTAACAGTAGTAATGATGGATCAAAAGTAGCTATGTAATTTTATTTGTTTTTTTTTTATTACTTGCTTTTTAATTTTTTGACATTTTAAAAAAACTTTTATGTTTGGAGGGTACATGTGAAGGTTTGTTACATAGGTAAATTGGTGTCATGGGTGTTTGTTTTACAGATTGTTTCATCAACCAGGTATTAAACTCAGTACCCAGTAATTATCTTTTGTTACTTTAATATAGAGAAATATAACACCTTTTAAATTTGTAATATGGACAGAACTATTAATAGATTTTGAATAAGGATGCCAAGTATCTTAAATTATAGAAATAATTCCATTCCCCTATTGCCCCATTTGTGGTTCCTATAAATGTTTATTAAATTGAATTCCTAGATGTTCCTATTTTCAGTCTTTAATATTACCTTTTACAAATTTTCATGACAGTTGCTTAATTCAAAATGTAGATTGAAATATCCTATCATACTTAATAGTCAGTCCTGCAGTTCATTGAGAAATAGCTCTAAAGCCTTAAACAACACCTTTATTTAGTGTTTTTAAAAAAGTGTCATAAGGAGTTAATAGGACACAGCTGTACTGGCTCTTTCTAATAAGCAGCTTCTGTCGCTTTGGTCACCACAGGTGTCTCTGTAACCTGCAAACTCTTATTACTAGTGTATCAAAGTTGTGCTACTTAACAGACTTCTTTAGTAAAACATAACAAAGCAATTACATGGCTGTTGATTGCCATCATAAAAAAAAGAAACCCTCAAACACTGTTTTTCAAAAGAAACTACACTGCAATTTTTTGTCATTGTAAAATAAAAGGAACTAAGGAATTAAATGGAGGATAGAACAAAATAACAGCAGGTAGCCCACTGAACTTAGCCACTACAGATGGTTTAGAAATAGTGTTTCCTTCTCCATCAAGTTGTGGATAAAAGGAAAGGAGGAGATTCCTTACTGCCAGTGAATGGCAAAAGATTTAGCCAAGTCTCCAGTCTCTGTATTTTGCCTCATGAAAGACCTTCGATGTGGCATTTTTATCTGTTTTTGGCACTGCTTTTCATCACCTTTAACTGAGTGTGAATAATAACCTGATTTAATTTAAACAAATACAGGTGCTAAAGATTCTTTATTTATGTATAACAGGGAATATTTCCAAGGCAAAACGAAGTCATCTCATGAAATTTCCTAACCATTTGCTTAAAGAAATGAAGTATTAGATTATGAAATAGCTTCAACATTATTTTGCCTCACATTTAAGGAAAGAATCATGTTCTTTTCTGATTCAGATTAAATAAAACAAAGTCTGAATGATGACCAAAAATTCAGTGAGCCATAAAATAACAAAAAGACAAATCAGATGGTTTCTAATTGTTCTATAATCGTTTAAATTAGGTGACTAAAATATGCTTGCCTTGAAATGAATTAATTTAATCTCCCTGTTCATGAACCAGCAGCCTGTGATTATGATTGTGTTAACACACCCAAAGTAGCATCATGGGATGTTACGGCCACATGTGTAATTAAACATGATGAAATATATTTCAGATGGGAAACTGAAATAGGCAAAATATGAAGAAGTGTTAATCACTTGAAGATACTATGATTAACAAACTAAGTAAACTCATCCTGACAACTAGGAAAGGAATTTTTTTTTCCCTATTGAGAATATGGATGTATTGTTGGCTGTGTGCAAAAGAATGTGTGCAATAAAGCGATTACATCAATTAGCATATGCTAGAGTTAAGCTATTACCAACTCCACTGGACTTGTGCAGAAAGTCCTGCCTTCTTCACTGAAGTTATTAAAAAATAAACTTACTACTAGGATTATATATTAGACTTGTTTTGCCTTTTCTGAACATCATTAAAAACATCAGGTTTCTCTAAAAGTTCAAAAACATATTAGAAATGTCTGTTGCACTGCAAATATAAGATGAGAAATGTATTTTTGTTTTCAGGTTATTCTTGAATTTAAAAAGTTTTTATAAGTTAAGGTACATTTTCACAATTGCAAATAACTGCATGTGTTAGCTGCAACGAGCAGCTTTTGTCTAATGAAATGCAATGGTAGAGAGTTTAATGCTGAGGATGAAAAATGTTTATGATGATGATAAACACAATGATTTTTTTTTTAATAGAAGCCCAACTTGTAACTTGTGAACAACAGTATTACCTTGCTCTGTTGGAGTCCTTTGTCAGATCCCAAGCCCAGGTTATAAAATTTTGACTCAGATAAGAAACAATGGATTCAGCACAAAGCATTTGTGAGCAGAACACGTTGGTTAACACACTTTCATCATGGTGGAGGTAGATAGCAAGAAGCTTTCTCTGAAAAGAGGAGAAAAATCTGATCAATTAAAATATCCACTAATGTAAGATTTCTTAAATTTTAGAGAGGCATAATTAGTCTATATGAACAGCAAAGACAAAAATTAAATGCTATTCCCTAAGAGAGTACTTTACATTTTGGAGTTCCTAAAGCATCTAAAATATCAAAAAATTTTACTTTCTTACACTTTAAAAAGGCTGGGATGATTATATCTAATTCTGCAGACTGCTATTGCAGATTTCTGTTGACATGTGCAAGCCTATCTCAAATGAAGTTGCAAAGGAATTGTATTTTGCTTAAAGGAAATGGATTTACTATTCTTTTCATTTAATAGATATATGTAAAGAGAAATATTAACTTTGAACTGTTCAACAATACAGAGAAAAAATATTCTTTAAAACAGAATGACAAAATTCCTCTTACATATTTTTTATGGTTTTAATCTGAACAATGGATAGTCTCTTCCATTTGAAAGGAAAAGGTCTGAAATCAAGTTTTCTTTTTGTTCTATAGATAATTTTAAAGTCCTTAATGTATTCTCATATTAAGCCCTTATTTATCAGCATGTGACATGTAATTGACATTTGAAGAGATAGAAAAATATTCAGTTCACATGCATTCTTTCTAGTTTATATTTCAGAAAATGTCCACTGTGGCTCTTCATATAGAAAATTATTCTTTCCCTTTTGCCATAATAAAAGTTGCTTTCAATAAATGACACTTGGTCTCTTAAATGTGTCTTCTGTCATAGTTGGATACTCAATGCAATAATTAAAACTAAAAACTGAAACTGAACAAGGTAATAGGTATAATAAAAACAATGGCTATAAGTAGCCATTGATGGTTTGCAACATGTTAGCTTTACCAACAATGACTATAATGATTAAAGAGCTTAAATTGTTGACTAACTTCTTGGTACTACCTCAAAGAAGAGCTGAGTTTAACAATACTCACAATTACCAGGGAAAGGAAAGATGAAATTTTATGGTAAAGACAACATACAAACCAATCTTTGAAATTCTGTCAAAGGAAAATTTCAAGGAAGCTTAGTATCTTTCCCTTCAAGTTAAATAAGAATGTGATGACAGCAAATGAAAATTTGCTGTGTGGGATTCTGAACAAAAGAAGGAAACTTACAGAAAAATATAAGGCTCATGCTGATGAAAGGCTAATGAAATCTGATGTTAGGAATTATCTAGATAAAGAATCCAAATAATAGTAATAGTAATCATCATTAAAATTGTTTTCTTCAAAGGTAAATTTCGTAATAGATGAGGGTAGCCACAGTTAGGTAGATTAAGATTCTAAAAGCATCTACTATGAATAGGAGACACTGTTACTTTCACAACCATTATCTACTTTAATTTCCAGAATAAATCTTTAAAATAGCATCCTTAACCCCATTAGCATATGAGGAAACTGAGGTTTAGAAAGCGGACTTGTCCCAAATGTCACAGATAGTTAGTAACTAATACAACGAGGATTGGCTCTCAGATTGTCTAACTCCAAGTCCAAGTAAGTGTTTTTTCTCTGATACTACAGTGGTAGCAGGGAAATCAACCACACTGTAGTCAAGGCTTATGGAAGCACTCATATAACATGAAGATGCCAGACTGCTTTGGGCTGAGACTCAGAGACAGCTTGTAATGGGAATAAGGGCAGGACTCCTGGGTATAAGTAGCTCAGCTGATCCCACCCTGCTTCTATGTGTTAATTCATTTATTCATTCATTCAACAAGCATTTGTTGAAATGCTCTTTGTGTCAGGCTCAGCAGGAAGCAGTGGCAATAAAATGGTGAACAAGAAAGACTCGGGGTTTCTTCATCTATGTTGATGTCTGCAGAGAACAGTATCAGCCTTCTAGGAAGTTTGTAATCAGATACATTGTTAGAGAGATACTTATCTAGTAAATTCCTACTCATCCTATAAGGCTCAAAACAAATGCCTCTATGAAACCTTCCGTGATTCCCTCAGGCAGAGTTAAGAGCTTCCTTTCCTGGGCCTCTATCTCCTTCCATTAGTATTATAACTGTTTACCAGTTTCCCCTCTAGACTAAATTTCTCAAAAGAGAGAATGAGGTCTCTTTCAGTCTTCTTTGCATCTTTAAACTAGCCTGGGTCCCAGCCTGTTTGATGAAAGAAACAAGAACACTGATACAAGCCACAGCCCCTTGGCAAAAAAGATACCCAATAGCAATGGCAATGTAAAATCAGTTTTAGTAAATGAATCAAGAATTCTGATGCTTTAGGGAAAGTAATGTGAACCTGGCACCATTAACAAATTCAGAACTCTTCTTCTTAGGAGCTCTCTAACTGAACAGACAGAGGGATGTCAACCCCTAATTCAGCTTGATCGTATCTCAGCAACTACATTTAATGAGACAGTGGGAAAAAGAGAGCTGTCCACTTTTAAATCAGCATATTTCTAACTAAACAATGGCAATGGCTAAATCTTTAAAATGCCTATTTCTCTCAAGAACACTGCAATGGAACATTTAGACTTTGGGAAAGAGATTAGTGATTTACATTGCTATCTCACTGATTTAATTTAAATGCTCTTCCAAACCAAACACACATGTGCCGAAGAGGCTACTAAGAAACCCAACATGCAGAGTTCTCTATAAGTGCAGCCGACAGTGTTGACTGAAACTAAACTTGGAAATCCAGGGCACTAATGCACAATATCAAGCAATAAAACGGCATCTCTTTGGCAATATTTAATTTAAAAAAGAAGAAAGAGACAGGCGAAGATCAGGCACTGTCTGTTTTGGAGGATCAACCATTCTGCATTTCAAAGCATTGGTCCCTGCAATATCCAGGTTACTGTGCTAGAATCTCGACTATTATATCGCAGTTGTGAGAGGGAGGGCAAAGATGTGTTTACTCAGTGATTAGGCCCTTAGAATAAGCCTCTAGCTCCTAGAGAGACAGCTCACCACTTATTCATTTGGGCCAATTCACAAAGCCTAGGAAGATTAAACATCCATGCTGAGAAGACAAGCGAATGCAGACGGTGAAAAAGAAATAAAAATTCTTTAAAAACTCTGAGATGACTTCATTATTTTTCCACAAGGAAACTTTAGGAAAGTGTTTAGTTAGAGAAAAACCCACATTGACCTCTCTCTAAACCCTTAATCTTTCCTTTGTGGTGGCACTGCTTTGTGGTAAGCGACTGGCTCGCCTCGCCCCTCTTTTCACTGGAAGCTGAGAGAAAAAAGACTCTGGAGAAACAGTTTTCGTTCCAGGGACACAAACCCCTGACACTGTTAAACATGAGATGCCAGGAAAACACACTTAAAAAAAAAATTCCCACTTTAAGCTTTAGACTGAATGTGAGAAAGGAGATGATAAAAAGAGTATCACAAGAGAATCTTCAGGCTGTGGGTACCCCAAAGTAGCTTTCAAAAGGAAAACTAATAATTTTAAAATAATCTTTTCTCTGACATAAGCTTTCAACAAAAAATTTTCTGCTGCTTTTATAACAATAAATAAGCAAAATATAAAGACTCAATAGTATGGAAGTGCTAGTAAATTTAGGCTATATAAATCTGATTAAATTACAGTCACAGATAAATGGACTCCAGACTCAGATTTCTGATTATCTTACTGAGCTCAATTAAGCACAGGCCAAAAGAGTGAGAACTGGATTAAGCATATCAACCAATTTGGAAGAGTTGAAATGGCAAACTAATCAGAAAACTGCTTTCGTGAAGAAAGCAGTACCACAGAAAACGAGTAAGAAAATGTTTTGATTTCTATTACTATAACCAGTTTTTCCTTTGGCCCATTTAATAATTTAGTTCAATAACATTTGAAGAGTACCTATGTATTAGCGATTGAGACTATAAAGATGAATGAAACAGTTTCCTTACCCTCAAAAAGTTGTGGGAAAGAATGTGCGGAGGCAAACGTTTAATTGTATACCATCTAACAAATGATAATATTGGGGCATTAAAAAGAATATATTTTATTTGTCCTTTCTAATTTGGCAGAGAGGGTCTAAGTCTGGCAGACCACAAAGGCAAACAACCAAGCTACATTCTCCTGATTCCCTCTCTGTAATCTAAGTTTTAGTAACACAGTGCAAAAGGAAGTCTCCAAGCTTTAAAGTAACAGAGAGCTCTGTTCTAAATCCAGTTCTGCCATTTAGCAGCTGTGTGACCATGGGGCAAATGGGTTGTTGTAAGCATCGCAGATAATGTAGGTTAAGTACCTATTTACAAGGCCTGGCCCATAGTAGGTGCTGAATGAAAGGTAGCTGTTAGGATGAAGATTCCTGAACTATCCATGCAAAATAAAGGGTTTTGAAAGCAATTTCAAGAGAAATAATGGCCATGAAAATGTATTAAAGATTAAGCAGCTCCTTCATTTTTCCTACTGGCAATAGTGTCTGGGATGCTTATTGTGTCTCTGAGTTCGGTGCCTCACTAATCTTCACATTCAAATCCAGGAGCTAAGGTACTAAGTTGATGCTTAAGAAATGCCCAGCTGACAGCAACCAATGTGACTTGGCCTTGAGCTACAGTAGCTATTGTATTTAGACTCTTAGTGTCACAGAACCATAGAATATTAGAGCTGGAAGAAATGTGCTGTGTCTCAAAATAAGCCAGGCAGAGAGCAGATACTAAGGAAATATTTGCTGATGAACTAAAAAGAAAGGGTTGTATTTTGAGTACCAGAATATCCATAATCTGCATGTTCAATGCTTTTAAAGTTGATATGACAATTTCTGGGAATGGTACAATGTAGTTCATAGTTTTTTTCAGTGTTAAAACTATAGTATAAAATAATTTCCTTGTGTAAATTGGACCTGACTTGCTTTCTCTCCTTCCCATTTCTGTTCTCCTTTTCCCTCATCATTATCATCAGTAATCAGAATCATTATCACTATCACTTTTTAAGTTTGGAGATGGCTCATTGATACAAACAATGGATACAATGATACAATAAACACCTATTTATTCTTCACCTAGATTTACCAATCATTAGCATTTTGCCATATTTGCTTTATCATTCTTTTAATACTTCCCTGAAACATCTGAATGTTTGCAGACACTATGACACTTCTACCCTAAAGAAATGTCTTGAGAATAATACATTCCCTTACATAATCATCATATTTATATCACACCTAAGACATTTAATATTGTTACAATATCATCTAATAAACAGTCCATATTCAAATTTCCCCCAAGTACTCCCACATGTCCTTTGTAGCTGTTTTATTTATTGTTTTAAATCCAGCATCTAATTTGGATCATTCCAGTACTTGCCAACTTCTACAATGCTATTCTTGTATATGGATGTTCATAGGTACCACATAGCATACAATCATGACTCAAGATAAGTGCAATGTGAGAACACAAGCAGGAGAGTAGGAAGCCACACTATCTGGATTCAAATTCCTGCTTTGCCATTGCCCTGCTATGTGACCTTGGGAAAGTCACTACACTTTTGTGCTTGGGTGGCATACAGTTCTGAAGGTCAGAAGTCTGTTAAAACTCTTTTCTAGATGGGAGTAGTGAGGAAGTAAGGCTGGCAAATCAGTAGTAATGAGTAGTAATAGAGGAAGTCCTGGGTTCTAGGCATGAACATCAGATTGGCTGCTTCTTTATGAAGATGATACTTTAAAAAAAAATTGTTTTTAATAGAGATGGGGTCTCACTATGTTGCCCAAGCTGGTCTTGAACTCCTGGGCTCAAGTGATCCTCCTGACCTGGCCTCCCAAAATGCTGGGATTACACACCTGGCCTGCGAAGGTGATACTTGAGCTGAATTTTAAAAGTAGGACATCAATGCTATAAGTAGAAACAAACAAACCACAGTAAAAGCAGGAGAGAGTGACTTCTCTGTGACTGAAGCTGAATTTTTCTTTTCTTTTTTTTTTTTTTGAGACAGAGTGTTGCTCTGTTGCCCAGGCTGATGGCACCATCTCAGCTCACTGCAAACTCCGCCTCCTGGGTTCAAGTGATTCTCCTGCCTCAGCCTCCTGAGTAGCTGAGATTGCAGGCAGCTGCCACCATGCCCGGCTAATTTTTGTGTTTTTAGTAGAGATGGGGTTTCACCATGTTGGCCAGGCTGGTCTTGAACTCCTGACCTCAGGTGATCTGCCTGCTTTGGCCTCCCAAAGTGCTGAGATTACAGGCGTAAGCCACTGTGCCTGGCCTGAAGCGGAATTTTAAATATACGTGAGAGTGAGAAAAAGAAGAGTAAAAAAGATAAAAAACAAAGGAAAAGTTTGGGAAAGGCCCAGCAATGTCAATGGCCCCATATGTTCAAAGAACTCCAAGCTAGTTATCTTTAAAGAGTAAAACACCAGAGTGCAGGTTGTATTGTGAAAAGAATCACAAAACTTAGCCCTGTTTAGCTCCTGAATGTGATTTCAGAGACCAACAAGCATCAACCAAATTGGAGAGGTTCCAAAAAGAAAAAGTCAGCTACTGAAGATGAGGAGATGCCAGGATGGTGTCTTTTTCCCCTCACTTTCTGAGCAGATGTTGGGATAGCATTCTGAAATCTTGAGGACACAGATATCTGAATCTTGCATAGGGAGCACTGTCATATGGAAGTCAGAGGGTTAAAAACAAAAAAAAAAAAAACAAAACAAAGCCTTCCCTAGGTGCAGTGGTTCACGCCTGTAATTTCACCACTTTGGGAGGCCGAGGCAGTTGGATCACCTGAGGTCAGGAGTTCAAGACCAGCCTGGCCAACAGGGCGAAACCCCATCTCTACTAAAAATACAAAAAATTGGCTGGGTGTGGTGGGGTGCGCCTGTAATCCCAGCTACTTGGGAGGCTGAGGTAGAATTGCTTGAAACTGGGAGGCAGAGGTTGTAGTGAGCTGAAATTGTGCCACTACACTCCATCCTGGGCAACGGGGCGAGACTCTGTCTAAAAAAAGAAAAGCCTAAAGTAAAATCAAACTCTCAAAATAAGCTGACAGATGTTCATTGGGTATAGATCTTTATCAGTTTTCATTGCTTAGACTGTAATACTCAGGTAATACAATATATTTGAGGAAGGCCACCATGTGGCAAAAGTTTTTATGAATAAGGACATGAGAAGCTGAAACGATTGGCTCTTACAGCAAGTTACAGAGAAGCAGGCATGCTCTTTGGGGAGGCTGGAAGAGGGACTGGGTAGGCAAGGAAGTAGGCAGTGTCAGGCCAACTCTCATTGGTTTTCCAGGTAAACATTTAGACACAGTACTAAGGACTTTGGTACAGTAGTCTCTTAAAAGTGCAGGAAGGATTTTTCTAACCCTTTACTATTCTCTATGGGGAGGGATAACACTACTCCTAGTCAGCAATAGGCCTGTTAAACAAGCATGACAAAAGGAGTGCGAATGTCAAGTGTACTCCTCGCCCCCACTTTTAGGACACTGAGGAAGAGAACAAGAACCCATAGCCTACTTATATCTACTTCCACATTCCAAAAGGTGACAGAGTATAGCAGTAAAGACTTGAAGATAAATTAATAATTTTTCATTAAAAATATATTAATAATGCATTCTTACTGAAAATCATAAGAATTACAATGATTTATGGGTATACATGTTCAGTAGCTTTTTAATACCATCAAATATTGTCTGACAAACAGGTTTCTAAGTAGAATATTATATATCATAAAAACAAGCTGTGTTTAAGCATATAGAGTTGTATTAACTCTTTTTTTTTTTTTTTTTTTTTTTTTTTTGAGACAGGGTCTCGCTCTGTCACCCAGGCTGGAGTGCAGTGGCATGATCTCGGCTCACTGCAAGCTCCGCCTCCTGGGTTCACGCCATTCTCCTGCCTCAGCCTCCCAAGTAGCTGGGACTACAGGCACCCGCCACCACGCCCGGCTAATTTTTTGTATTTTTAATAGAGACGGGGTTTCACCGTGTTAGCCAGGATGATCTTGATCTCTTGACCTCGTGATCCACCCGCCTCGGCCTCCCAAAGTGCTGGGATTACAGGCGTGAGCCACTGCGCCCAGCCAAATGGCAGTGTATGTCTAAACTAGTAAGTTTTGAACTAATTTAAGAAATAATTTTAATATGGGCACTAAAGATTTTTGCAATTTTAATTAGGCAGATCTGATAATTGGAGAATTAAAGGCAAATTCTAAGTGGTACTAACAAATATACTATTTAGTAGAAATATCTAATTACAGAACAGCAGGTTTGGTATGGTTGTATTTATATAAACTATATCAGCTTTTTGACTGATATACATGTTTATAGATTTTTTTAAAAATCACATTTAGAAAGTAAAAGCATTTAATAAATAGTGGTTATTTTCAGGTTTGGAATTATGTGGTGTCATTTTCTACTTAAAATGCATCTGTATTTTCATTCTCTTACAGCAAATACATTATTTGTATAATTCAAATATATTTTTCTAAAAAAAAAATTAGCATTCTAAGTCTTATTTCACACATGTGCAGGATGCTGTCCCAGCTGTCATACAAAATTACTATAAAAGACATTGTCCTGACTTTAAGGAATTTAAATGGAAAAAATAACACAGACAAGATAAGCAGACTGGGCATATTTTCCAAAGCACAAAGAAGTTTGTTTGCCTGGTTTTCTGGATATTGTGTGGTGAGCTAGAAACTTACCAACTACAGCTGTGGCCTCAAATTTGTATAGAACTTATTTTTCTTAAAAGACAATGAGCAATGATGGCATTTAGATTTCTTTCAACACGAAGCAGTAGAAATAGCATGACTTTAAAATGGGCTGATTTAAAAAATAAATATAATAAAATTTGATAACTAAGAGCACTGTTAAACGTGAACTACTAATTTTTGTGGTAGAAATGTTCATGGGGTTCTCAAAATTCCTTTCTGAAACTGTTCCTAGAACTAGTTCATAATTGAATGAGAAAATCAGTTTTGTTATTTTACAAACATTTCTCAAATTTGTCCAAAACTGCTTAATGGCACCATCTGTCTTATCCACAGTGCTGGGTGCATTTATGGGTAGCATCCCACTTAAGTCTCAAAACAACCTCTATAAAGTAAATACTATCATCATCATGTTTTTTCCATATTAGACATAGGCTCATTACTTGTTTAGGGCCACAGAGCTACTAAGTGGGAAATCAGCAATTGAGTACTGAGTCCCTTAATTTATGTATAATATTTGGAAAAAGCACTGGTGTGAAGTCAGATCTTTGGAGCTGTAATGAAATTACTAATATCAAAGCTCAGACTCCCAAAGGGATGCTTGGGAAAGGAACAATCCTTCACATGGGAGATAAGCCCTGCCATTGAGATTTTTATTCCTGTTGATTTTTAGTTACTATAAATGTCTAATGATTCTCCAGGGTACTTTTGGTGGTGTAGAAGAAGAGAATTCAGGGACAGTAGGCATGAGAGGTGGGGAGGCCCCAAGGAAAAAAAAGACTCATCTCCGCACCGCCCCCCCCCCGCCACCACCCCTGCACCAAGATATGATCTTGTTCTCTTGCCCAGGCTGGAGTGCAGTGGCACAAACATGGCTCACTGCAGGCTAGACCTTCTGGGCTCAAGTGATGCTCCTGATTCAGCCTCTTGAGTAACTGGGACCATAAGCACATGCCACCGCACCTGACTAACTGTTTTTGTTTGTTCGTTTTTCTTTTTTTTTTTTTTGTAGAGATGGTGATCTCACCATGTTGCCCAGTCTGGTCTAGAACTCTTGGGATCAAACGATCCTCCCACCTTGGCCCCTCGAAGTGTTGGGATTACAGGTGTAAGTCACCATGCCCAGCCTAAAAACAGATTTTAAATGTCAGCTAATGCCAGGGCATCACAGGCCCCTTCATGCCTTGGCCCCCACTGATTTTATCAGCATCATGCCTAGCAATGCAACTCCGTCCTGCATTTTTTTGCTCCAGTAATACCAAACTGGTTGTCGTTTCCTCACTTTAATCTTCCATTGCCTTTACTTTTGTTCTTCCTTCTGTTTAGAATTCTGTTATTTGCCTAAGTTTTTCTCATCATTTAAGATTCAGGTCAGAGGTACGTCCTCTAGAAATCTTCCCCCTAGGCTGGGCGCGGTAGCTCATGCCTGTAATCCCAGCACTCTGGGAGGCTGAGGCGGGTGGATCACCTGAGGTCAGGAGTTCAAGACCAGTCTGGCCAACATGGTGAAACCCCGTCTGTACTAAAAACACAAAAATTAGCAGGGCGTGGTGGCACGCACCTGTAGTCCCAGCTACTCAGGAGGCTGAGGCAGGAGAATCGCTTGAACTCAGGAGGCGGAGTTTGCAGTGAGCCGAGATGGCGCCACTGCACTCCAAACTGGGTGACAGAGTGAGACTCCATCTGGAAAAGAAAAGAAAAGAGAAGAGAAGAGAAAAGAAATCTTTCCCCTGAACTTCTAAGGTAGTTGAAGGTACCTCTTCTCTTTGCTTCTATGGTATATTATACTATATGGATTGTTTATATTGTTTTATTTACCTCATTAGACTGAGCAAAAGCAGGAAACCTCTATTTCCCAGATCCTTAGAGAGCATGTGATAAACATTTATAGCCCTCAACTGGATGAGTGTCCTTCATAGTTAAGGGCAAGGAAGGAAGTCATAAAACTGATCAGTACATTATCAGAAGTCAATACTTTGTCACGATATACTTAAAAGAAACATGAAAACTTAGAATAACTACTTTACCAAAGTTGGAAGCTCTGCTTCGTACAGTACTGTAAATTCCTCAAGAAAAAAGGCAAAAAGAACGATGAGTACTCTCACCACCAAGTGCTCTCAAATGAAATCAGTTTGAAGCAGTTTTCATTAAGATGGATTGAATGTGGCATCGTGAGAAACACTTTATCAAATGTAGTGTTTTACTTAGTGATTAACTATATACCAGTTGATGAAGCTCCCCAAATCCTTTGTAATCCCACCACTCCAATAAACATTTAATGAGTATATAAGTTCAAAAAGCCTAGCAGAGGATTTAAACCTTCAATCTTGTTTTTATTTACTCTTGGAACTCAATTTCTCACTTCAAGTGAAGAATGCTGGTGTTTGAGGCTCATCTGTTGCCCTGGTAAAATTAATGTACCTCCCCTCCCACAGTTTAAATTAAACATGTGATATTTAAGATGAAGAAAATTTAGTAAGAGTGCCACAGTATCCGTCATATTTGCCTTAAAATGTTTGAACATGAGCAAACTGTTTTCTGAAAAACGATTCATTCAAAAATTTTAAAAAATAATCTTGAGCAAAATCTGTTTTAACTCTCAAGTGTGAAATATGAAAAGGAGAGATGAAGTTTGATTATTAAATCCTGAAGTACAGCAGTTAGCAATGAAAACTCAAGTGTGGTGGGATAGTGTAAACCATATTTACCTGTCATGGAACATGTGAGCTCTTATTTGGTCCCTACTACTTACTATCAGTGTGTTGTAGGCAAGTCATGTAGCTTTTCTGGACTTTCTCATCTCTAAAATGGGAATATGAGGATTATATATCCCTATTTCACTGTTTGGTTGTGGAGTTCAAATGAGATATGTATAGGAACATGTTTTATAAACCACAGAGCATCACAGAATTCTGAGGTAACATTACAATTACTATACGTACACAGTTAAAAGAAGATGTATACAATCTGCTTGATGACTTCAATAAATGAACCTGTTTAGATTTAATTTTGAATAATTTATCTCTCATGGAGTTAAACTTTAGTTTATAGAAATGTAATAAACTGTACATAAACTGTTGATCTGTAACTTGGAAAAGAGAAATGAGGAAAGAAGAAAGCCCTGGACAAAGAAATAAAGACATTTTTATCAGTCCAGAGAGGTCAGTGGATTTTGGTTACAAATCTAATAGGAAGCAAAATATTTAATTACATGAACCAATAATTTTTCATCTGCTAAAACACCTAGACACTAAGAAAAGCAAACAATCAATTGTTTCATTAGAAATATCCAGGAGTTAATAAACAAGAGCTTATATTCCTCAGGGGATTATCAGTCTGAATAAATCCAAATGCCAATTTACTGTACAAGACACTTAGTAAAAGTTCTTTTGTCTACGATATACTGTATTTTTAAGTGTAAGTTATCTGCATTTAAAGCTAAAATGTGTGAGGTATACATAGTATATCTTACAGAAGCTTTGGAAATGGGCTTTTAAAAATATCTATACCTATTTTGGGAGCTACAGTTTAAGTTACAAAAGGCTGTGACATTTTCTGGTTACTTCAACTACTGGTAAGCAGAGAAATGCACTATTATCAAAGAATAAGTTGAAAAATACATTATTTTGAAACTATAATTAGATATTCTTTCAAACATATTTATGTCTAATAAGTGATTGTTTAAATATAACAACATGGCCATACAATGAGACTCCATAACCATTAAAAATCCTGTTAAAATAAAATATTCAGCATTATTTTACAAAGCATGTCACCTAAATCTAACAAAGCTTTTAGACCTAATATCCATTTTTCAGGAAATCAGAAAAATAATATCACAAGGAAACAATCACACAAATCCAGAATTTGGAACCATCTACAAGTCATCCGGTCTGATTTCTTCACAAAGCAAACGCCAGGAGGAAAAAATGGGGAGAGATGGTGCTTGCTTAAAAGGTATTTAAGATATCTAATACTCAAATATAACTTGTGATCCTTGAGTGGATTGTGGTTCCAAAAAAAACAGCTAAAAAGAAATTCTGGGGATGACTGGTGAAGTTTGTATATGCACTGGATAGTAGATAATATTAGAGAATTATCGTTAATTTTGTTATATGTGAAAATGGTATTGTGATTATGTAGGAGAATATCATTATTTTTGGAAAATGCATGCTGAAGTTTTTAGGGGTAAAGTATGACATCTATAATTTATTTTGAAATGGCTTAGCAAAAAATAATAAATATACAGTATACCCTAAATGTTTCTGTGCAGTTTAAGTTTCAATAACTTCAAAAGCTTAACTGCTAAAAACTATTAAAATTTATTTGAAGTTTTAATTATTTATATTTATTTTATACTTGTTTGTTTTTGTGAATTTTGAATAAATTTTTAATTTATTTTCTGTTCCAGTCAACATTTGTCATTTTTAATCAGAGGAACTGAAACAAAAATTTATAAAAATTTATTCATCAAAATCACAAATCCAAATAAGTATAAAAATATAAATAAATTTCAAATGCTGCTCTTTTGTCAATCTGTAGCAGTTAATCCTTTTAAGTCATTAAGCCTTAAAACTCCATTAAGACTTTGAGATGCCTATATATGGAAGATAAAAATATGGCAAAATTTTCCTAATTATTAAAGGTAGGTATAGGGGATTTGGCTATTTATTGTACTATAGTACTTTTTCTGTATTAAAATTTAAATAATTTTTTATAATAAAAAGTTAAAATACTATAAAAGAAGTTATAATTAAGAAAGTGATCATATAATATTAAAAGGTAAAAAAAGCTGTTATTACAGGATTATAACATGACTAAATTTTATACTAAAAATCCATATATATGGTCAACTAAACATACAATAATATGCAAAGAGCATAACAAAGTTAACAGTTAATCTGTGTTAGAATACTTTCTCTTTGCTTTTCGGTATTTTCTTTTTTCCTTCCAAGAAAGAATATCACCTATTATCCAGGCTGGAGTGCAGTGGCATGATCTTGGCTCACTGCAACCTCCACCTCCTGGGCTCAAGCAATCCTCCTGCCTCAGCCCCCCAAGTAGCTGGGACTAGAGGCATGCATCACCAGGCCTGGCTAATTTTTGTATGATTTTTTGTAAAGATGGGGTTTCACCAGGTTGCTCAGGCTGATCTTGAACTCCTGAGCTCAAGTGATCCACTCGCCGTGGCTTCCCAAAGTGCTGGATTACAGGCATGAGCCATCACATCCAGCCCAGTATTTTCCATAAACCTATATTTATGAACACCATAAACATATATTGCCATAAACATGCAATTCTTTAAAAACAGCCATTTTTATATAGATTGAACAGTTGAAACATAATTGCTTAAAACAGCTTTTAAAAGGGCTATTCTGCTATTCTTAGGGTAAAGAAGTTTCTTACTCTAAATTCATTAGACTGTCAATTATAGCTCTAATTTGATTAATCATCTTGGAATTTGATTTTTAAAATTTATTTTTAAATGAATTTTTCTTTGTATCAGAATTTAACATACTCTAGAAAATAGAAATCTCAGAGGCATCCTTGCACTCTGTTCTCAAACTCCTTGCCCTCTTTAATTCCAACAGCTTTCCCCTCTACTCCATGTACACACTATTCCTTCCTTCTTCCCTTTCTTTATTCCTTGATTTATTAAACATTTACTGAATTTTTACTAAGTACAGGGACATAAAGGATAGTCCCTGCCAAAAGAAAATCAAAACTCCTGGGAAGACATATGTAGAATGGATAATTATAAACACTGTGTTAAGTGTAACAATAAGAGATAAGCAGAGGGTTTTTCACTGGGAAGTGCTAAAGGGGTAGGTGCTGCCAATGTGAGAGAAGGGGAGGAGGTGGAAAAGGTAAGTTTCAGAGGAGGAGGAGGAGTCATCCAGGTAAAGAGCAGAATGAAAGGCATTTCTAGCAGTGGGGAAGCATGAAGAAAGAGTAAGATTATGGGGCAATACAAATGGTACACTATTGCCAGATTTATTTATTAAGTGTGAGGCAGGGAATGGGAAGAGCTGAAGCTACATAGATAGGCAGGAGCCAGATTGCTGATGTCTTGACTGCTGTGACAACATACAAATAGTGATTAGAATCTTCTTGCTCAAAACTTATCTTCTAAATTCTTGTTATGGGCTTCTTCTTATAGACTTCAAGATCACAAAGTCCATTTCTATGTTTAAAACCTTTTTTTGGGGGGGTGGGCAGGGGCCCAAAGTGACTTTTGGGGAAAAATATTGCAGTTGTTAGATATATATCACTACACAGAATAATCATTTTGGGAAAAGACTAAAGAACAAATCTATCAAGAACTAGTCATTTGCGTAACTGAAAAGAATACAAATATGTAGCTTGGTCCCTTCTAAGCACATCCACCTTTTTTCCCATTTAAAAAAAAACCCTATTTCAGTGCTTCACAAGGCCTTCTGCAAGAGCCAGCAGTACCCCTATCACATTAATGTCCCTTGTGAAATGGGTATCTTGGTGAAGACTAGGTTAGCAGATGAACCAGAAACAAATAAAGTCTCCAATCTCAAAATGAAAACAGAAAACGGTGCTTGCTTCAGCAGCACATAATACTAAAATTGGACTTATACAGAGATGATTAGCATGGCCCATGCACAATGATGACATACAAATTCGTGAAGAGTTCCATGTTTTTGGAAAAAAACAAAAACAAAAACAGAAAACATTTAAGCATTGCCTCAGCCCTAGTGGTAAACCTGTGGGATGCACTTTTTAATCAGAAAAGGTCAAACTGTACTTACATCTCGGGCTTTCACATAGAAGGCCTCTTGAAAAGCAGCTTCTAATGAGCCAATAAAAAATACAGGATGGCAATCACCATATCTATAGGAAAAAGTGAGTCTATTAATTAAAATACTTTTCAAATTCACTTCAGATTTCACAAGTCTAATCAATGACTTTTAAGTAAATGTTGGGGCTAATGTCTAGTGCATACTAAACATAAAAACATTTCTTTAAAAGCTTGGAAATGAGCTTTATTGGTTTTTAGAATTCTTCTTGGCCTATACTGATATACTAAAATACTGGAATTTTAAGTACACTTAGCAAATGAATTTAATAAGTGCTATAAAACCATGCCATTTATAAGAAGAAACTCTTGGTTACTCACTTTCATATGATTTTACTAGTTACATTAGCCTTATTTTCCCACTTCAGTTCATTTATTCCAGAATTCCAATAGAAGGAAAAAACTGTTTCTTTTAAAAGTCTCCATATTATATTTCAACAGAAAATATCACTAAAACAATATCATTTACACCAAATTGAGGATTAAACATTAATTCTCTTTATATTTGAATACCTCAGCAGACTCTCAAATGCATATAAAATATTTTATATTTGACACTTAAGGAAGAAATGTAAAGCAATTCCAAAAGAAAAAAATAAAGGAAAAAATTCACTTGGATTTAAAATGTTTAAAGTATTTTTAAATTTAATATTATTTTAAAGGATTTTCCATTTGACTGTCCTAAGATATACTAAAAATTACTATCCTATATCCTAGTCCTTTGGGAATATAATAAAAATATTAAATTAGGATCCATTTATTGAACGTCCATAAACATACAGAAATAAGTTGAATCTATCTCTAAAGTGGCATAAATGGTTTACTGGTTATTTATGTGTTTCACTATTAGGACTATATAAATTAACAAGTATATCCTTTGAATACTTTAAGGAGAAACTTTAAACAATCTATAATTAAAATTGCCCAAGAAAAATCACAGTAGCATAAAACAGCATCAAATTTATATAGTTAATGTCCTAACCCTACCTTGAAGAAAACTCTGCTGTAAATTGTAATAAGGCATCTCCTTCATTTTCTGCGTTTTCTGGCACTAAAAAACAAACAAAAGAAAAAACAAAAACAAAAAAACAAAACAAATAGACACAAAAACAAACCACATAACATCTAATCCCACATATAAGAAATATATTCAATCAATAAAGAGGAAATAAAATTAAATTTTAGCTTCTGTGATATATCTGAGGGGATAGTTTAACTCAACATATATTAGATCTCATCAAACCAGAATCAAAAAGAACCTTAAAATATTCCAAGCTCATAAATTTTGAAAAACCAATGGACACAATCCTGCTAAGCATTTAAAATATGTGCCCAGTTGTCATTTAGGATTTCAATGTTTTCTTGAAATAGACATCTTGTGACTAAATTATATTAAATGGGTCTGATATTATTTTAAAGACTTCATTAATTGGGAAAATAACCAATTTTATGTAAACATCACATCTATTTCTGCCCACAGGAGTTCTCTAATTTCACAAAGTAAATAGGCCATTATTATTTTAGTGGTCATTTTGCACGTAGCATGTCTTGTTATTCTATAGTACACATCTTGTAAGTGGAAGTGAAAGAGATGGTACATTTAGTTTACTTTTTTCCTTCCAAAGATGGGTACCGTTGAATAGAAAAGTAACATTATTACTCTTAAAACTGATATCTCTAATAAGATGTGGGGAAACAAGTATCGGTCACAGAAAGTACACCTGTTTGTTAATCAGCCTCTAGGTTTAAAGAGAGACAGTCATAATTCATTATACATGTAAAACAAAAGTTACACTACCTTGCATTTTTAATGAATTTTCCTAATGCACTGAGAATTTTTGAGTTTAATAAAATCTAAATTCAAAAGGCTCTGGTTCTAATGAAGAATGCCTACTCTCTATTATCTTATCTCCTCAAACCTGGAGGTCAGTAAGAGATGTTTAAGTTTAATGTTCTTCATAAGTTTGTGTACTAGAAGAAAGAATTCTATTGCTGGACCCAAAGAGCTATTAATACTCACTCATTGGAGATTTTCTCAAGGCAGATGACGCCATGCCAAATACTTCTCCATCATCCACCCCAAATTCTGTAGCATCTTCAAAGTCATCTCCATCGCTATCACTAACCATATGAACATCGGTGATTTGCTATTTAAGGAAAGTCCTGATTAGTTTCATATTGATTTTGGCCTATCAAATTCTAAGAATAAGTTATAATAATAACAACAGGACATAAGCGTTATAAAATTTTTATCAAATAAACTCATTTGCTAGAGTAAAGCTTACTATTTTTTCCTTTTAAGGCTTACATACTTCCTAAACTTTCTGTGATACCTGTAGACCGAAGGTCTCCAACCTTCGGGAAATGAAGAATGCTTACAAACTAAATAAAGACAGGGATTTTTGTCTTTTTCCCCAGCATATAGTATACAAGTAAGTGCAAAACAAATGAGAAAATGGGTACAACTGGAGAAGTCAGAGACAAAGTAAGTTATGCGTCTCTCAAAAAGCTCACATTAATTTATATTTGGCAGGTGGAGGCAATGGTAGCATTTCTAAACTTTCCACTTCCTTACTGCAGTGGTTCTCAGGTTTCTCTTTGTGAAATATGGTACACTATCCTCACATTGTTATGGATAACATGAAATACACTACATATGAAAGCTCTTTGTAAACTGAAGATGAGATGTAATAATAATGTTTTACATATGAGTTGTAATAATAATGTTTTAATTCAGTAAAAATTACTGAGAATTTACTACCTGCTGAGCACTGATGAATATGCTCTGTTTATTTTGTTTTCAGCAACATCAATTGAAAAGGTATTAAAAACATCTGCTTCAAAGAACTAGGCTGTTATTCTCTAGGTTAGAATGTGATTCTGAAATACTGAGATATAAAACTTTTGGACTGGGCTGTAAATACTGCTGAATATTCATGCCTTAGGTAAGAAGACGGTCCAAGCAAGATATCTGGCTACATGCTTGTCTGTCCTATGTTCAATAAATAAAGTCTATAAATATTACTTAGTAAATAAAATTTCTATCTTTTAAAATGTGGCACTATGTACTTAAGTTATAAAATGGGGAAACTGATCCTTCAGTCTATGTAGAATAACCTAATATAACATAAATATTTTGCCAGAAAAGCATTAATAGAAACAAAATATAAGACTCATAATTAGCCTGGGCATCATGGCCAGATCTCATCTCTACATAAAAAAAAAAAAAAAAAAAAAGAAAAAAGTCTGGCATGATGGTGTGCCGCTGGTCTTAGTTACTTGGGAGGCTGAGGCAGGAGGATCACTTGAGCCCACGAGGTCAAGGTTGCAGTGAGCCTTGTTTGCACCACTGCACTCTAGCCTGAGTGACAGAGTGAGACCCTGGCTCAAAAATAAAAGACTCATAAAAATTTAGCTAGAGGGAATGTCAGAGGTTAGACAGTTGTTGAATCATAGATTTTAAAGCTGGAAGGATCTTAAAAATCTGTCATCGGCGGTTTTCTAACTTATTTTCATAGGGTTTCCTCCCTCCCCTAGGCCCAAACAAAATATTACAATACATAAAAGTAGGACTACTCTGGTTGATACAGGGAGAGGTCAATGGGGAGCTTAATGCTCTTGGAGTTGGCCTTTTCTTCCTTGTATCTGTTGACACCTGGGGTATAGCCAGAGGATCTCAGGACCCCATGAAACACTTTTTAAAACTGCTCATCTAGTGATTCTAAGAGTTCCAAATGAGAAAGTCAAGATGTTTCTCATTTGACTTAGTGTCAAATGTCAGCATTTCCTCCTTGGGCATACCCAAGCATTAATGCAGAGAATCATAATCATATTTTCCCTCTCAACTTTAAGACAATCTTTCTAATGCTTTGAATAGACAAGATAATGAAGATACATTTGTTGCATGAATAAATAAATGGTCCTTCCCTGAAGCATTTACCTGCCATCTTAACTCTACTTCTCACGGAAACACTGGTCCTCCTCCCTTAATAGTTTGTTCGTAGATCTAAGATCTCCTGGTTTAAGCTAGTCAACAGCTTAAAAATCCACAATGCTTTCTCATTTTAGAGCAGTGAAAGAGCCTCCTCCACAAAACAACACATTTACTAGGACAACAGTGCTTGAGTTCCCGCTGTGTTTCAGGTAGTCAAATATCTGGAGAATGAAGTTGCCTTTAAATTTGAGGCTTAGTCTTAAATAGGTAAAGGCTCAAGATTTACAAGATATACCACATGTTCTTTTACAGTGCCTAGCCAGATTCACAGGCAACTGAAAAGAAACAAAGGACGAGTATGACAAATCTTCTCACATCCTCTATCAGGTAAGCTATCAATTCAGTCTTTGCTTAATCTTGCCTAGTACTCACCCCCTCCTTTGAGGCATCAGGTTAAGAACAAGGGGTGGGAGACACAGGGGAGAAAAAAGGGAATGTTCTATATATACTTCTTTCTATACTTACCCCTTTTACTTTACTGTCCCACATCCATCCTCTTTCTCCAAATCCTGTTCAATACATTAGCTCCTTCTATAACAACAGGACCTTACTTCATACTAAGATAGTGATTTTAATATTCTCCATGTGTCTCCATTATTCGTTTTCCCTTCACAAAGTAGAGAATCCCCAAACCTCTTAAAATTCCAGAAAACAAAATCCTATAACCACAACATCTTCAAAGGGAGGTATCTAAAAAGCCAATTTTGTTGAAAAAAGTATATTTCAAATATGAATTATTGAAATATCTGCAAGAATGAACTACTTAATTATGTATAAGGAACTCCCAGTCTCTTCATATTTTTTTATCAGCCATCTAACAGGTTAGAAAAAGCTTTTTCTAAAAAATAAGATAAACTTTTTTTCATTAATGTTTGCTGATGAGAATAGATAATCTCTCGGTATCTGTCATGGCTGCCCTAAAATTCTTTAAATCCAGAAAAAGTATTTATTCATAATTTTAAAAACAGCTAAAAAATTAGTGATTATGCTTATTGCATTCATTTATTACCTTTAACATTTAACAAACATTTACAAATCACTGTTAAGTGCTACGCTGTTTGGACCTATGTGGAAGATACAGTATATCCTCTCTTAAGGAGCACCATATATTATACACAGAGTGATTAGTGCTATGACATGTAAATTCAGAAGAGAGGACCTAAATCATAGGGGGTAGGAATCAGGAAAAACTTCCTGGAGGAGATGATAACTAAACCGTTTAAGGTAAACATTTAGAACTCATAACTGGCATTAAAGCAAGCTTATAATTGAAATAGATGTTCCTTTCAGCAACATTCACCAACTACCTATTATGTCAAGGCACTATGTTAAAAACTAGGTATGTCAGCCAGGCATGGTGGCTCATGCCTGTAATCCCAGCACTTTCAGAGGCCGAGGCAGGCGGATCACTTAAGGTCAGGAGTTCGAGACCAGCCTGGCCAACATGATGAAACCCCATCTCCACTAAAAACACAAAAATTAGCCTGGTGCGGTGGCAGACGCCTGTAATCCCAGCTACCTGGAAGGCTGAGGCAGGAGAATCACTTGAACGTGGGAGATGGAAGTTGCAGTACGTGCCACTACATCCAGCTAATTTTCATATATTTTGTATAGACAGGGTCTCACTATTTGCCCAGGCTGAATGTGAACTTATTTTAAACTATTTGTCAGGCAATTCGTGTATCTCTAATTCTTTAGGGTCAGTTACTAGAGTTTATTGGTTCCTTTGGTGGTATCATCTTTCCGAAATTCCTTATGATCCTTGTATTCTTGCAAAGGTGTCTGTGCATTTGATGAAAAAGTTACCTCTTCCAGACTTTATGGGCTGCCATCAGTAAGGAGAGACCTTCACCTGTGGGTGTGGAGAGAGGGTAGAGAAGGAGAGAGGCACTCTGGGGCATGCTGTGGCATGGGGTCTAAGGGCACAAGATACCAAGTGGTGTGTGTGTGTGGTGACTTGAGGTCTAGGGGGGACACTGAGTCTTGTCAGCCTAGACAGTTAAGAGTCTGTGACATTGGCACCTGTGTGATCCTTGACGGCAAAAGTTGTGGGAGGTCTGCAGAGGCTGCAAGGGCTACTGGAGTCCTCTGCTGTGCCTCTGTGTCCAGCAACAAAGGGCCATGGCTAGCAACAATGAAGGCCAGAGCCAGTGAAATGCACATCCTCTGGTGTAGAGGCTGGCTGCAGACATGCCTCTGGCAGCAGATCCAGATGTAGCCTCATGCACTGGGGTAAGTGCTGGAGACAGAAACAGGAGATGGGCAAGACTGTAAGAGCACATGTGGGATGGTCAGGGCTGGAAGCTTGCTTATCCTCAATTGCAGGGACCAGCTAGGGTTAGGTGACAGGAATTAGACTATCTGTGTATATGTGGGCAGCTGCAGGGCCATCTGTGATTGCAAGCACAGTGGTAGGGGCAGGAGCCAAGGGGCAAGATCACCTACTTATAGACATAAAACTGTGACAGCCAGGGCTGGCAGCATGCAGTAGCCTAGCTGCTGGGGTAAGCCTCAGGTACATGTAGTGGTGGGTTTGAAGCCTGTGATGAGTGGTCACAGAGCTGTTTTCAGGCACACATGCAGTAGCTGTGTTGTGTCCCTGGGCCAAAGAACCCACAGGGGCAGCAGCTGGGGTGGCTCTGGGGAGGAGGGATTTCAGGTGCTTAGGCACCTGAAAAATACGAAGTCTGCTGAGGAGGGATTCTAGACCCAAGCAGGAGCAGCTCAGGTGACTCCAGGTGGGGAAGGGAGAGGAGTGGTAGGTCACACACCCAGAGACTGTCAAGGCTGCTGGGCTGTGTTCCCAGGCCAGAACAACTACAGCAGTAGCAGTCTTGCAGCTCTGGGTCTTTGCCCATTTTTTAACTGGGTTGTTATATTACTTAGTTTTAGGAGTTCTCTATATTTTATAGACATTGATCCCATATCAGATGTATGATTTGCAAATATTTTCTCCCATTCTGTGGGTTGCCTTTTTAACTCCATTGCTAGTGTTTTTTGATGCACAAAACTTTTTAATTTTCACCAAGTCCAATTTCTCTATTTTTTCTTTTGTTACCTGTGCCATTAGTGTCATACCAAGATATCATTGCCAAATCCAATGTCATAAAACTTTTGCCCTATGTTTTCTTTTAACAGTTGTATTGTTTTAGATCTTACAGTTAGGTCTTTCATATATTTTGAGTTTAGTTTTGCATATGATATTAGGTAAGGGTCCAACTTCATTCTTTCGCATGTGGATATCCAGTTTTCCCAGTACCGTTTGTTGAAAAAACTTCCCTTTCTCCATTGAATGGGATTAGTGCCCTTGTCAAAAACCATTTTATCATAATATGCTGGTATGTTGGGGCTCTCTATTATATTCCATTGGGCTATATGTTAGTCTAGCACTGTACTGTTGAGATTACTGTATCTTTTTACTAAACATTGGAATCAGGAAGAGTGAGTCCTCCAGCTTTGTTCTTTTTCAGGATTGTTTTTGGCTATTCAAGGTCCCTTGAAATTCCATATGAATTTTTGGATAAGTTTTTCTATTTCTGCAAAAAACCACCATTGGAATTTTGATACGGATTTCTGTAGACTGCTTTGGGCACTACAATATTACGCCTTCCAACCCATGTACATGAAATGTGTTTCCATTTATTTATATCTTCTTTAATTTTTCAGCAATGTTTGGTAGCTTTCATAGTACAAGTCTCCCGCTTCTTTTATTAGTTAATTCCTAAGTATTATTCTGTTTGATGCTTTGACATTGGAATTGTTTTTCTAATTTTCTGTTCAGCTTGTTGACTGTTGGTTTATAGAAATGCAAGTGATTTTTGTGTGTTGACTTTGTATCTTGGTATTTTGCTGAATTCATTTTTTAGTTCCAATAGTTTTTTAAAAATGTAATCTTTGGAGTTGTCTACATATAAAATTATCCTCAGTGAACAGAGATTATTTTAATCCTTCCTTTTATTTCTTTTTCTTTTTCTTGCCTAATTGCCCTGGCCAGAACTTCCAGAACTATGTCAAATAGAAATGGTGAAAGGGGTCATTCTTGGCCGGGCGCCGTGGCTCACGCCTGTAATCCCAGCACTTTGGGAGGCTGAGGCGGATAGATCACCTGAGGTCAGGAGTTTGAGACCAGTCTGACCAATATGGTGAAACCCTGTCTCTACTAAAATTACAAAAATTAGCCAGGTGTGGTGGTGTACTCCTGTAGTCCCAGCTACTCAGGAGGCTGAGGCAGGAGAATCACTTGAACCCAGGAGGCGGAGGTTGCAGTGAGCCAAGATCGTGCCACTGTACTCCAGCCTGGGCAACAGAGCGAGACTCTGTCTCCAAAAAAAAAAAAGAAAGAAAGAAAGGGGTCATTCTTATCTTGTTCCTGATTTTAGAGAAAAAGTTTTCAGTCTTTCACCCTTGAGTATGATGTTTGCTGTGAGTTTTTCAGATATGTCTTTCATTATGTTGAAGTAGTTTTCTTCTATTTCTAGTTTTACCATGAAAGGGTGTTGAATGTTACCAAATGCAGATGATGACGTGTTTTTTTCCTTCATTCTGTAAATGTGCTGTATTACATTGAGGATTCCATTATCTCTTGCTTGCACTAGTACAACAGACTCATACCTGATTTCTCTGTCTTCTGTCTTGTTTCTTTTAAATCTAGCCTGTGCACAGCAGAGCGCTCTTCACTAAACTGTGTATTTGTGGGGAGATATCACTCCCCACTTAAAAGTCTTTTACTGCTGGCCAGGTGCAGTGGCTCATGCCTGCAATCCCAGCACTTTGGAAGGGCGTGGCAGGTGGATCACGACTTAAGGTCAGGAGTTACCAGCCTGGCCAACATGGCGAAACCTCGTCTCTACTAAAAATACAAAAATTTCACCGGGCATGGTGGTGGGTGCCTATAATCCCAGTTACTCAGGAGACTGAGGCACGAGAATAGCTTGCACCCGAGAGGTGGAGGTTGCAGTGAGCCGAGATCGCACCACTGCACTCCACCCTAGGCAACAGAGCGAGACTCCATCTCAGAAAAAAAAAAAAAAAAAAAAGGCTTTTACTGCTTTCTACAGTTCCAAATTCTCAATGTGTCATACAAGACTTACTCACTTTCACCTCATCTCTTATCTTCCTTTTCCCCCGACTTTCTTCTGCACTAACAGCAACCTACACTTATCTCTTCTCATTTGCTACATCAAATCATGCTTTTTTTCTCTGAATGGAATGAATGGAATATGATTCCTTTGATTCTTTATTTGGCTGTGACTCATTCTTTATAATCCAATGTGGATGTCACCTCCTCTAGTCTTTTTTTATTTCCTTTATTTAAAAAATATTCATTTACAAATAACTATTCTGTGTCTGTTACATGCCAGGCACTATGCTAGGTGTTAGGGCTACAGAGGGGAGAAAGACAAACAAAGTTCTTGCCTGCAAACATTCTTGAAAGTTACAACCCACCCCCATTATCTATGCTCCCCTAGCATCTCATGCTTGCCTCAATTTTCTCATTAATCATATAATATAAAATTATCAATTTATATTCATCTGACTAGTACATAGTGAGCATTCAATAAATGTTTCTTTAACCATAGTTATAAACTGATGCTTTTAACATTACATTAAAACTTTTTGTTGTTGTTAAGTTTTTGGATTTCTTCTCCTTCTTCACTGTCAACTGAGAACTGAACAATTCCCAAGGAGCCAGGGTCAACAAGGCCCCCACACTGTCTCACCCAAGCAACTGAGGATAAATTGTTACCTAGCTAGGTATCCAGAAATATGGAAAAATCATTAAACGGGGGCTCAGGAACAAGGGGAGGATGAGAAGAAAAAATATTAAATGATCGTAAAGAAACTGTGTCTGTAGGGCCAGAGAGATGATGTAAGAATCAAAATTCTCCCAGCTAAAGGAAATATAACTACAATCCATAAAGTCTAAAACTTGAATTTAACTGCTGGTCTCAAATATTTCCTTCCTAACTCAAAGTTTAAGAAAGTCAACAGCAAAATGATTATTGTTGGCTGGGCACGGTGACTCACACCTGTAACCCCAACACTTTGGGAGGCCAAGGAGGGCAGATCACTTGAGGTAAGGAGCTTAAAACCAGTTTGGCCAACATGGCAAAATCCTGTCTCTACTCAAAATGCCGGGCATGGTGGCACATGCCTGTAGTCCCTGCTACTTGGGAGGCTAAGGCACGAGAATTGCTTGAACCCGTGGGGAGAAGGCTGCAGTGAGCTAAGATTGTGCCACTGTACTTCAGCCTGGGCAACAGAGCAAGACTCTGTTTCAAAAAAAAAAAAAAAGAAAGAAAGATGATTGTCTTAAAACACACAAAGTCATGTAGGAGTAGAACCGGAAGACAGCAGTAGAATCACTGGGTAGAAGGTACAATTACACATATTTCAACTTAATATAAGGAAGACAACAGAAAAAGCTGCTCAAAAATGAAACTGGTTATTATAGGAGGGCAAAACTCCTAATAATAAGATATTATTATTCAGTAATAATAAGATATTACCGAGGTTGTGAATGTTTTAGTTTGGCAAAGCCTC
Organism: Homo sapiens; assembly: GCF_000001405.40. Lineage (NCBI taxonomy): Eukaryota > Metazoa > Chordata > Mammalia > Primates > Hominidae > Homo > Homo sapiens. The sequence goes on from NC_000001.11 coordinate 50,593,202, forward strand.
CCAATCCCACACTACCATTTTCTCAAAATAACCTAAATAGTGTGCTAGCCTCACAAACACTGCTCTTCACTATATGGAACTGACTTCTCTCTGCTGATGGGACCACCCAAATAACACATATAATAGTGAGGGTGAGAGAAGAAAATAAATGAAGTGAAACAGTTACCTGTCACCTCTCAGATAGGACACAGAATAATTAAAAATTTTGGTTGGGGCTAGTTGGCCACCTTTTAATGTTAGTGGATTTATCCATTAAAGAGTGGAAGTATGACCTACTCTAGCCATTAAAAACAGACTCAAGCACTTTAAAGAAATATCTCATTAAATTATGTCCGGCAATTTCTGCCAAGCAGTGAAACTCAATATTATCTTTCTTTCACAAGGGCTAGTGAGATAAAGTGCTTTAAAAAAAAATGGTTTGGTCTCTTGAAAAGGAATAAACATTTTTGGAGACCAAGTATAGTACAGTATAATACAGCACAGTCATATTATTAGCAGGGGAAAACACTTCCTTCTCTGTGGTTTTCTAAAAAATGTTAAAAACCAGAGTGGCAAATTATAATTTTCACAGGATGATTATAGACTACAACTTCAATTACATAACTCCATTTCTCTTTCACATGTTTAAGTGATATAAATACGTATTCAAAGGATGGCTGGAGAAGTCCTGTGGTAGCTTCCATAATGGGTGTCCAAAATATATAGGCAGTTTAAATAAAAATGAGCAACCACATTTTGTATAGAATGTAAATGGAAAAAAATTTTTATCTTACTAGCCTAAGCTTTTAAATACTTGAATCATGCTCTGTCTTAAAAAATTCTAGTTTAAGGCCAGGCGTGGTGGCTCACACCTGTAATCCCAGCACTTTGGAGGGCTGAGGAGGGTGGATCATTTGAGGTCAGGAGTTCAAGACCAGCCTGGCCAACATAGTGAAACCCCGTCTCTATTAAAAACACAAAAAATTGAGCCGGGTGTGGTGGTGCGTGCCTGTAATCCCAGCTACCTGGGAGGCTGAGGCACGAGAATCACTTGAACCCAGGAGGCAGAGGTTGTAGTGAGCCGAGATCGCACCATTGCACTCCAGCCTGGGTGACAGAGTGAGATCCTGTCTCAAAAAAAAAAAAAAAAAATTATAGTTTAAATAAAGTTCATCTGTGCTATTTAGTTATGACCTCCATTGTATACACTTTTGAAGTCTTGGTGATGACTTTTCCTAGCACATAGTAAGAGCTCAATAAATATTTCTTAAATAAGTTAAAACATCCATGCTCTCTTTCCCATTTCCTTATAACCATGGTCAGAGTTGGGCATGAAAGTGCTGTTTGTAGCCATGGAACAGAATTTAAATATTTCCTTATAATATTCTTTAGGCTTGGGCCAGGCGTGGTGGCTCACACCTGTAATCCCAGCAATTTGGGAGGCCGGGGGGGGTGGGGGTTGGGGGTGGATCACGAGGTCAGGAGTTCGAGACCAGCCTGGCCAATATAGTGAAACCCCGTCTCTATTAAAAATACAAAAATTAGCTGAGCGTGGTGGCGGGCACCTGTAGTCCCAGCTACTTGGGAGGCTGAGGCAGGACAATCGCTTGAACCTGGGAGGTGGAGGTTGCAGTGAGCCGAGATCGCTCCATTGCACTCCAACCTGGGCAACAAGAGTGAAACCCCATCTCAAAAAAAAAAAAAAAATTATATATATATATATTCTTTAGGCTCACTTAGACCCAAATAGGCACAACACACAAACAAACGTGTTCAATCTTATCTGCCCCTTCTCTTTGTTTCTTTAGGACCCCTGTGTGCAACACTATCACTGCATTTTTTATATTATGCCATCACTATTATTATTATCTTTTTATTTTTATTTTTTTTTGAGATGGAATTTCACTCTTGTTGCCCAGGCTGGAGTGCAATGGCACAATCTCGGCTCACTACAACCTCCACCTCTTGGGTTCAAGTGATTCTCCTGCCTTAGCCTCCTGCGTAGCTGGGATTAAAGGAATGCGCCACCACACCCAACTAATTTTGTATTTTTAGTAGAGACGGAGTTTCTCCATGTTGGTCAGGCTGGTCTCGAACTCCTGACCTCAGGTGATCCACTCACCTTGGCCTCTCAAAGTGCTGGGATTACAGGTGTAAGTCACTGTACCTGGCCACTGTTATTTTATCTATCACCCTTGACTCTCAGCACTTTGGTATAGGTATAGTGTTATTCATCTTTGTTATCTAAAGATATTAAGCACAGTGTCTGCTTCATAGTAAGTGCTCCAACCCAATGAGTTAAAGGACTTCCGGGGTCAATCCTAATGAATCTACTCAACTACACAGTCAATAGCAAAAAAAAGTTTCTTTTTTCTTTTTTGAGATGCATTCTCATGCTGTTGCTTAGGCTGGAGTGCAGTGGCGCGATCTCGGCTCACTGCAACCTCTGCCTGCTGGATTCAAGCAATTCTCATGCCTCAGCCTCCCAAGTAGCTGGGATTATAGGTGTCTGCCACCACACCTGGCTAATTTTTGTATTTTTAGTAGAGACGGGGTTTTACTATGTTGGCCAGGCTGGTCTCGAACTCCTGGCCTCATGTGCTCTGCCTGTCTCGGCCATCCAAAGTGCTGGGATTACAGGCGTGAGTGACTGTGCCCAGCCTAGAAAGTTCTTTGTTAGCCTGATGGTTCTAAGTAAAAATCATTTCAACCAATCCATCTGAATTCCGTCTGTTGAAACATGAAACTAACAGAGCGAGAAGGAGCACATTAGTAGTAACCTTGCATGGACAGTTTCTGCCTTCAAGAATTTACCGAGATTTAATTAATGCTACATTAACTTTATCTGTTCATTGCTCTGGCAGATAAAAAAAAAGGGAAGTGCGCAGGTAGGTGGGGGATGGGCCTTCTGTTCAAAGAAAAGCTGGCAAACAGGCTTACTTCTTCCGACTGTTCCCGGGTCTGTGCAGGTGAAGATCTTCTTCCCACTGTAAGTCGATGGCAGGGATAAGAGAGCCCTGATTCAGCAAGACACATCTGCAAAAAGTAGAATCCATCATTTGTAAACAAAATACGGCCATGTTTCACAAAAGGATTTGACTTTTCAGGTATTTTCTATTATTGCTGAAGCTAGATTAGAAAGCTAACTCTAGTATCCTGGGTATTACATTACCAGGAAGGCTTTGAAAATTTGAAATTTTTCCACACATGGGATGTTATGGTAGCTAAGGCTAATTTTCATTAGATGATAGACTGAGGTTCTAGGAAACTGGTATGAGCCCAAAATAAGGCAAATCATACATACTTGCCCCCAATCCCCCACTGCCTCAATGTGCGTCTGCTACTTTTCTGATTAGCAGAATAATACCTCATTTTCCTAACTCCGAAGGCAGTAGGGATAGAAATATAAAATTGTAGGTGAGATACAAAATTTAAAATTTCCATAAGATACATATATCAGAAATATACAAAAATCTAAGTTTAGGTTTTATCATAAAGGAAGCTGCCTTATATTTGAGTAGTTACAAAAGTTCTCCTATTACAGGGTGCTTCCTCAAATACTTCATTTTCAATACACTGTTTCGACAGATTAGCCTTAAATAACCTGAGTCAATGATGCTTCAGGTTCTCCCAGAGTTTACTTGTCAAAACTGGTTAATAAAGAAGACAATGATAAGACATGATTATTCCTAGAGCTCTGTATAATCTCACAATTGCAAGTATTAAAAGTCCTTATAAACCTGTCTTTAAAAGATACTTTGAAAAATGTCTTGGGAAGATGATGAATATACATACATAGGACAAATGAAACCAAAACAAAACAAAAAATAAGCAAATGAAAAAATTACAACTGTCCTTAATGACACCTAGATAGGGATAGTATTTGATTATTACTTTCTCCACAGCGTAGGGATAATAAGGTTGAGTTTATGGGTAAAGCAATGAGAAAATGCCTAGCACACAGTTGGTGGCTCAACAAACATTACTTTTTACTAGTCTGTGAAGAATATCTGTGGCTTGAGATAAAATGTCCAGCGAAAAGGATGGACTCTAGAAAACATGACTTTAGCAGAAACACCTTCCTCACCTAGACTGTTCCATGAGAGAAGCCCACTGTCACCTTATATTCTGGGGTCTTTCTAAGTTAGCCTGTTCCTTAATTAACACAAGAGTAGTTATCTTATTCAATTCAATTATTTAGTCTTTACAATGTCAACCAAAAAGAAAAAAAAAAGTGACCCTAGTGGTGATGATGATGCTTATATATAAAAAAATGCCCATAGAATTTGAATAAATATCATGAAATATGAGGGTAGCTACAAAAGCAGTATTTGTAAATTAACATTATATAATATTAACATTATTTTAAGTATATGTGTCCAATTAAATAATTTGACAATTATACTACATCAACACAAAAAGTTTATGCATTTAAATTATCCAAAGAAAACCCTTTTTCACAAAAATAATTATTATTTTACAGTATTTATATTTTTAAGGCCACATCTTAAGGAAAAAATAGCTATAGTTGGCAAGAATTTAATTGTTCTTGTCAGCTGTCAATGATTGAAATATAAGGATGGTAAATCATTTTTTGACAAGACATGAAGAAAAATGAACAAAATTAAGTAAATTTGTTCTGTTAAAAAGTAATCCATGGAAAAGGCAGGCACTTAACAAATTCTTGTTGATCCCTAAAGGAACTTTTTCTATTTAGTAACAGGAGACGGCTAAGTGTAGAATGGACTTTTAAACTCAGAGTGTCCTGAGTTCAAATTCACTTCTACTATTCACTCGAATCAATATTTTCCATCTCGAAACTAAGTTTCCTGGCTGGGCGTGGTGGCTCATGCCTGTAATTCCAGCACTTTGCAAGGCTGAGTCAGGAGGATAGCCTGAGCTCAGGAGTTCAAGACCAGCTTGGGCAACATAGTGAGATCTTGTCTCTAAAAACATAAACAAAAGATTAGCTGGGTATGGGGGTGCACGCCTGTAGTCCTTGCTACTTGGGTTGCTGAGGCAGGAGGATCACTTGAGCCCAGGTGGTTAAGGCTGCAGTGAGCTGTGATCATGCCACTGTACTCCAGCTTGGGTGACAGAGTGAGACCCTGTCTCCAAAAAAAGAAAAACCAATTAGCTGGGCATGGTGGAACACACCCATAGTCCAGCTACTAGGGAGGCTGAGATGGGAGGATTGCTTGAGCCCAGGAGGTCAAGGCTGCAGAGAACTGAGATCATGCCACTGCATTCTAGCCTGGGTGATAAAGCAAGAACCTGTCTTTAAAAAAAAAAAAAAAAAAAAAAAGGCTAAGTTTTCTGTTCTGTAAAATTAACATGACCTTTCCTAACAGGCTTTCTGTGAGGATGGCTTAAATGAGAATACACTTGCTACATAGTAGATATTCTATCAGTGAGTGAATACTCAAAGTCCATTTGAAGTTTTTTCTTTTCTTCTTACAAACAGTATTTAGTGTTAAGAACATACTGTGCTGGGCGCAATGGCTCATGTGCTGGGCGCGGTGGCTCACGCCTGTAATCTCAGCACTTTGGGAGGCTGAGGCGAGTGGATCACCTGAGGTCAAGAATTCGAGACCAGCCTGACCAACATGGTGAAATCCCATTTCTACTAAATACAAAAAATTAGCCGGGCATGGTGGTTCATGCTTGTAATCCCAGCTACTTGGGAGGCTGAGGCAGGAGAATTGCTTGAACCTGGGAAGTGGAGGTTGCAGTAAGCTGAGATTGTGCCATTGCACTCCAACCTGGACAACAAGAGTGAAACTCCGTCTCAAAAAAAAAAGAACATACTATGTGATTCTCAAAGTATGTACTACAGGCACAGGGTTCTTGAGATTCTTTCAGTAGTTCCATAAGGTCAAAATTATTTCATAATAATACTTAAATGGCATTAGACTTTTTCACTGTGTTGTATTTATTTATTTATTTTCTTGAGAGGGAACCTCGCTCTGTCACCCAGGCTGGAGTGCAGTGGTACGATCTCAGCTCACTGCAACCTCCACCTCCCAGGTTCGAGTGATTCTCCTGCTTCAGCCTCCGAAGCAGCTGGGATTACAGGTGTGTGCCACCATGCCTGGCTAATTTTTGTATCTTTGTAGAGACGGGGTTTTAACACGTTGGCCAGGCTGGTCTTGAACTCCTGACCTCAGGTGATCTGCCCACCTCAGCCTCCCAAAGTGCTGGGATTACAGGCCTAAGCCACCACACCTGGCCACAGTGTTTTTATACTGATGTTAAAAAAAGCAATGGTAGGCAAATCTGCTGGTACTTCAGCACAAATTAAGGTAGTAACACCAAGCTGTTAAAAATCTCCAGTTCCATTTACTCACTGTAAAAATGGCAGTTTCATTTAATAATGTCCCTGTTAAATCAGTAAAAATTATTAAGTAATTTAATTTATTTATTAAGTAAATTTTGACTCTTAATACATGTCTTTTAATATTCTATGTGACAAATGGGAAGTATGTATAAAGGACTTCTACAGCATACCAAAGTATAATGGATGGGTTGAAGAAAAAGCATGTGTGTTTCAGTTATATGCTGAATCAGCCACTTTTTTTCAGAAACACCATTACTACTTAAACAAATGATGGGCAGACAAACTGTGGTTATTTGGATTTGGTATTTAGACAAGTATCCCTTATTTAAAATGCTTGGGACCAGAGGTGTTTCAGACTTAGAACTGTTTTGGGTTTTGGAATATTGGCATCATATATACCTAACAGTTGAGCATCTCAAATCTAAAAATCCAAAATCTGAAATGCTCCAATGAGCATTTCCTTTTAACATCATGTTGCTGCTTAAAAAGTTTCAGATTTTCAGATTACGGATACTCAACCTGTGATTGAGTATCCCTAATTGCTGAACATTTTCTCCAAAATGAATGAAGTGAGACTACTACTTCAAGGAACAGGTCTGACAGTATTAATTGCCAATGACAAAATTTGAGTTTTCATGTAAAAATTAAGAGTTTTAAAAACTATCAGCCATCATGAGCTTGACAGCTTCTCAATGCTTAAAGCCTTTGTGATGCGTTCAGTGGTTATATTAATATAATAGATGTGACTTTTTATATCATGTAATGAAATGTGTCAACATTTAGAAAATCTGCATAACTCACAAGACCAATATTCTCCAAATGAACAGTGATTGCATGATGTTATAAAATTATGTATGGATAAAGGTTTAATTCAAACTGTGAGGCAGACCAATGTATCTTACTGTGACAAAGTATTAATACAAAATGTATAGTGGTAGGGCTTCAGATTCTACATTGAAAGTAACATTTAGCTTTACCCGAGAAAGCTCCTTGCCACATATACACACACAAAAAAATTAAAATAAAAAAAATAAGACTAACCTTTAGGAAACTACCACTTCTCAAGTTCTAGTTTAGTATCAAAGAATAATATCTATAATTATTTGAAAAGACTATTAAAATACTCCTCCCTTTTCCAACTATAGATCTGTAGGAGGTCAGATTTTCTTCATATTTTCAATCAAAAAAATTCATTACAACAGGTTAAATGCAGAAGAAGGAAGACACGAAAATCCAGTTGTCTTCTATTAAGACAGACATTAAAGAGATTTGTAAAAGTATAAAAACAGTGTCACTTTACTTACTGAATTTTTAGAAAATATAATTACTTTGTATAAAAATGCTATTTATATTAACATGTAATTCACTTGTTATCTTAAATATTATTTTCTTCAATATTAATTTTTAGAATGGTAAATGTCAATGAATATAATCCACATAAACAAAAGCTCTCTGGGGTCTTTGATGATTTCTTTACAAGTGCAAAAGGATCCTGAGACCAAAAAGCTGTGAACTGCTGAACTATGTAATGTGTACATATGCAACTAATTTTCATGAATAATGACAACTATTACTTGAAACAACTGAGAAGACAAAAAAGCTCTTTCAAAATCTTAGAATCTTTTCGATGTTTCTTCTTTACACAATAAACAAAGCATATAGTATTTTCTTTGTATTATTCTTTATGTTATTCTTCACATGAAAATAAAATACTAGGACAATATGCAAAGGAAAACTCCAGTAAACCATCATGACTGATCTCTGGCTATGTCTAACAAGTTGTTAGTAAAACACAGTATTATCATGTTAAGCTTGGTCCTCAGAGCATTTAAGGCCATTCTTAATACTTCTTTCTTTAAAAATATGAATTAGTAGGCTGGGCGTGGTGGCTCGGTGTGAGACACCTGTAATTCCAGCACTTTGGGAGGCCAAGGAGGGCAGATCACTTGAGGCCAGCAGTTCGAGACCAGCCTGACCAACGTGGTGAAACCCCGTCTCTACTAAAAATACAAAAACTAGCTCGGCATGGTGGCGGGAGCCTGTACTCTCAGGCACTCGGGAGGCTGAGGCAGGAGAACTGTTTGAACCCGGGAGGCAGAGGTTGCAGTGAGCTGAGATTGAGCCGCTGCACTCCAGCCTGGGTGAGACTCAGTCTCAAACAATACATATATATTCATATATATATATATACACACACACACTATATATATTCATATACACACATATATTCATATATACACATATATATTCATATGTATACATATATTCATATATACATATATTCATATACATATGAATTAGTTCTTCAAAGTATTTTTTATTTTATAGCCAAATTTTAACCCTCCCCAAATACATGCTTGCAGTCTGTCTTTTTTTCTAATTATAAATGACAAAGAATAAGACATTTTAAGAGTATTGGAAGCTATAAAACCTGTTATGGGACCTTGGGTCAGTAACCAAGAGTCTTAACATCTCCTTTTGTAAAATATAGGTACGACCAACTAAATGGCCTCTCAGATCCCTTCTAGCCCTAATGGGCTATGATCTTCATACATCACTAAGGAGATTTGGTTATGTCACCTGCAGACTCCTTGCTCTGCATGTGACACACCCAGTAACACAAGTGAACGAGATTCAAACTACAGCTTTACTGTTTTTATCTTTTATTCACTCAGTTTGTAAAATACAATTCTCTTGTGTTTTAAGAAGAACAATTAATATGAGACATTTTTTAAAAACCATATCTCAAGCTTGTCATCGTCCTCACAAGACACTGATGTAATTTCATCCAGATTTGGGAATGCTACCGGATATTAGCACTGACTACACTGCACTGATGATCTTTTTAATCTGTGTATTTGTATGTCAAGATGTATCCAACTGTACACTTAAAAAATGTATGGTTTATTACAGGTCAATTATACTTCAATAAGGCAGTATTCAGTGCTATTAATATATGCATTTATATCCTCATATAAAGTATTGCTTTTTTTTTTTTTTTTTGAGACAGAGTCTCACTCTGCCACCCAGGCTGGAGTGCAGTGGTGTGATCTCAGCTCACTGCAACCTCCGTCTCCCAGGTTCAAACGATTCTCCTGCCTCAGCCTCCTGAGTACCTGGGACTACAGGTGCATGCCACCAAGTCCGGCTAATTTTTGTATTTTTGTAGAGATGGGGTTTCATCATGTTGCCCAGGCTGATCTTGAACTCCTCACCTCAAGTGATCTGCCCGCCTCGGCTTCCCAAAATGCTGGGATTACAGATAGGAGCCACCTCACCCAGCCTAAAGTATTGCTTTTTGACATATATATACATACACCCATGAAACCATTCCGTATTTTAAAAAGCAGTTGTATAATAACTGCTACTATTAAGAGCTCAGTATGTATTGTTATTACACAAAGTGCTTTACACGCACTACCCCACTTAATTCTCACAATAACTCTGCCAGGTAAGGATTATAATCCCCACTTTAGAGATGAGGTTACTAAATCTCACACAGAATAAGAAGGTTGCCCAAAGTCAAACAGGTACTGACTGGTGAACCAAAATTAAAACTCAGGCACTTTATCTCACAACCATTTAAAAAGTATCCAATCGAACAACTATTAAGGCTCTAAGATATCTTGTCTTACTATCTGATAACCAGTAATTACTTTCTTTGGCTTAATTAAAACAGCTACTCCTAGATACCATCCATTAGTCAGAAACTACATAGTAAGTGCTTAACATATGTCTACCATACATGACAACTCTGTAAATTAAAGACTATCGTGATTGTACAAATCATAAAACAACCTTAGAGTAGTGGAGTAACCTGTCCAAGATAAATCAGGTACCAGATGGCAAACCAGATTTAACTCCAAAAGCCATGGAGTTTTCTATTACATCACATTTCCAACGTAGATAAGGTTTTTTATAGTAAGGAGTCCTGAAGATGACTTCTAGAATACCCCTTTTAAATTTTCAGATGCTTACTGTTCAGCTAAATAGATTACTGAGGTAGTTTTAAACCGAACTGAGTCATGAGGCTAAAATTTCATTTACTGCCAACCAAAGCGCAACTCTAAAAAGCTTATTTTTATTCACAATCCGAGGTTTCTTCTGCCCTTCCCCCAGCCATTTTTTTTGTCACTTATGTGCTAGAAAAGTCACACAGAGCTTTAATTTGTGGCAGGTTGAAGCAAGCTTATCAAGAATGCTAGTTACCAAGTGTACATGCACTTGTCTGGACTAGCCCACTGCCACATTCTTGTAGCAGGGTTAAACAGCAGTTTAGTCACCTCATAAAAAAGCACACTGTTAAAAAGGAAGTGACTAATAATATTCTGGAACCAACAGAATATTAAAAGACATGTGCAGGTCAAGATCAATTATCAACAAAACTCCTGTGTAAATAGCTCAAAAAACTGTGTTCTCTGCCTGGCCTTGCTGCGTTATAGTCCTCAATTGATTTGGCAAGTTGGTAAAGTTTAATGAAATAAACACCAACAGTTACAAGTTCTCAGGCTTTTTGCTATGTACATAAACACAAACACTACCATGTAAGCAACCGGAGCTGGAAGAAACAAGGATGGCTGCTATACATGGCTTCATTTTACACACAAGATACTAGATTTGGAAGAGTCCTCAGAATTCATCAGTTGCTTGTATCCCAACCAGGAGATCTTGAAGCCTTAGCTGAGTCAAGTGCTACTGCCATATCTTCCACCACTCAGCATCTCCCTTGCCCCATTCCAAGCTAGTAATAAGAATTTCCAGAGAGAAGGTATCAGCAGCCTTCTCTTAAACTTCTATCAGTGATCCCACCATCCCCAACAGATTCCAAATGAAAGGCAGTTTCTCCTCACAAGATAAGGGTCTAATCCTCTCACTTAACAGGAAAAGAAACTGAGGTATAGAGAGGTAAAGTGTTTGTCCCAAGTCTCACATCTGCTTAATGATAGCACAAGCATGTTCTCTTCTTGACTCCTAATCTCGGTTTTTCTTTTTCTTCTTTTTTTGTTTTTTGAGACAGTCTTGCTTTGTTACCCAGACTGGAGTGCAGTGGTACAATCACGGCCGACTGCCACCTCGATCTCCCAGCATCAAGCAATCCTCCCACCTCAGCCTCCTGTGTGGCTGAGTCTGCAGGTGCATGCTGCCATGCCCAGCTAATTCTTTAATTTTTTGTAGAAATGAGGGTCTCCTTATTTTTTGTAGAGATGGAGTCTCATCATGTTGCCCAGGCTGGTCTTGAGCTCCTGGGCTCCCCCTTTTGGCCTCTCAAAGTGCTGGGATTACAGGTGTGAGCCACCACACCCAGCCAGCTATGTGTTTTTTAAAGATGTTACAGTTAATTGTAAAATACTAACAAATATCTTGATTTAATTATCTCATATTTTCTTTTTAAAAGCTTTTGGAAATATATATAGTAATTTTAAATGCTCCTGACTTACTTTTTTGGTTTCTTTCATTTAATCTGGTGGGACTCTCAAAATCAAGGAGAATCACCTGATGCTATTTTCCACATTATAATTACCCACTTTTATGCTTCCTTATACTGTCCCAACATTATCTTGAGATTTTGGCTATCAAACAGAGGTTGCTCAATATAAAAGGTTTTTTTGTTTGTTTGTTTTTTTAATCTTCTAGGGCATTTCATCCCCTAAAACCAGATTATGTCATAGCGAGATAAAGAGCTGCTCACTGTAACAGAATTAGCACAATTTCTAAATGGATATGCTTTTATAACTAAACACAGACATCAATATTCTTGTACTTCATTACTTATTGATTTTAGTGAGTACACTAGAAGAGGTTCTGAAGTATTTTACGTCATTAAAATACTTCTGAAGAGCATTAAGTTACACAATAAGAAATACAACCCAGACCAGCCTAACACTGTCTAATGGCATAGTCCCTCATACCTTTTTAGAGAGAATGGTCAACTTTACCTATATAAAAAAGTACTATCCTCAGGTAAGTAAGTGCTCAAGATGTTATTTGTAAGGCAACTTTAAACCAAAGTTATTTCAGCTCAATCAAGAACTCTGTTTCAAAGTCAACTTTTTTTTTTTTTCACAGAGGCCAATAATCCACACTGTGAATTAAAATAGCCCTTCTTTCACAGTTCCTATCACTACAGCTTTATGCCATTTAGTTGCTTATGAGCACCCTCTGGTGGAGGGCAGAAGAGGGAAAAGAACATATTAAACACATTGCCTATAACCAGTAAGAAGGGTGAGGGGGAAAGAGAGATCTGGAATATGTGCAGATTTCTCTTGACTCTGCTTTTCTTCCTCATATTATTTGATAATTTAGAACTATTTGTTGAATGTTATACTAACCATATAGTTACTCAGAGTTGATAACTTATTCAATAAATATTAAGTTATTATATGTCAGGCACTTGGATCCAAATAACCTGGCCTTGGAGCCAGGCTTTGATAACTAATGTCATTTCTCAGGAAAGCTGCTTATCTCAAAACATCTCAGTTTCCTTGTCTGAGAAATGGGAATAATATCTTTGTTGACAGCAATAAAGAGATAAGTGAAAAAATATGTAGCATAGTGGACTAGATTTTCAACTTTAAAAAAATAAAAATCACACACCACCTCATCTTTGTGTCCTTGCCAGAAGGATTATCATATAGGTGTTTTCAGTTGCAATGCCCAATTATTTTTAAGAATCTAAGCCTAGATGACAGAATTGGTATCATTTAAGTATTTTATATCAACTTATGTCAATTAAATTTAACTGTATTAGTATATGTTCTAAAACATATAACAACCAAATATATTATTCAGTCTTTTCCATACCAAAGATATCCAAATGATGCCGACCAATGTTAAAGAAAAATTTCTTCCTAAGTGAACAAATTTAAATTATAAAGAGAGAAGGGTTTCTTATCATTTCCCACATAACATTCTTGTGAGTGCCAACCTGTGGAGAGCATTTTTGTTTAGATATATTGTAGCTGTGAGAGTTGCTTTTTTTTTTTTTTTTTTTTTTTTTTTGAGACGGAGTTTCACTCTTGTTGCCCAGGCTGGAGTGCAATGGCACGATCTCAGCTCACCACAACCTCCGCCTCCCAGGTTCAAGCGATTCTCCTGCTTCAGCCTCCCGAGTAGCTGGGATTATAGGGATGCGCCACCACACCTGGCTAATTTTTTTGTATTTTAGTAGAGACGGAGTTTCTCCATGTTGGTCAGGCTGGTCTCGGACTTCTGACCTCAGGTGATCCGCCCACCTCGGCCTCCCAAAGTGCTGGTATTACAGGCGTGAGCCACCGCGCCTGGCTGAGCTGTGAGGGTTTCTAAGGGCCCATATCTTATATCACTCATTACCTGCTTACGACTGGGAATTTCGAAAGGATACATTACATAGCCATGTCCAAAAGTGGAACTTGCTCCAGGTTTCCCATTCAATTCCTGCGAGAGGAACTAAACCAAAATTGAGAGAAAGAACAACAGGCTATTGGAGGCAAAAATAACAACAACAAAAACAAACAAACAAACAAATGAAAAACTAAAAAGGTATCTCTGTCTGCTGCAATGACTTTGAGGGACCAGTTAAGCCTCCTGAGAACATTTAGCTTAAAAACATTTAACTAGCCTGTAAGCCACCTTTTTTTTTCCTGTTGCCACCATTAAAGCAAAGCAAAAATTGTTCTTTTACATCTTTAGGCTTCATGGTGCCCTTGTATGACTCCTTTCTGCCATAAGTCAGCCTGTGGTATGATTCCAGGTGTGTAAATACTTGGGAAAAACACTATATATAGAGCAAAGGACCTGGGTTAAAACTCTAAATCTGCCTCTTATTCATTCTGTGACCTTGATCGACTTTCTTCTCTAAGTTTTATCACCTGTATGATGAAAAAATTGGACTAGATGATTCTCATGTTTTCTCTCACCCTGAAAACTTTTTCAGTCTGATGTTCAAGGCCATAACCCTGCCCACCTTTCCAGCCATTACCTCCCACTATTTTTGTATACAGGTTTCTTTGCTCAATGATCCAAAAATGTGCCTTGCATGTGCCTACTCTTAGGCTTCTGCTCAGTCCATTACTCTTGCCTGGGTTTCCCTCACCATTCTTTTCCATCTGTCTATTTCTTAGGCATGTGAACATAATATGAGGAAAATTTAAGTGACAAAACTTCTTCAAAACTCAGCTCAATCTCTTTCTGAAAGCCTTCTATATGACCTCCCCAATTTCACATTTTTCTGTCTCCAAAACACTTGGTATCTTTTGGTAGTCAATCATATCCAGTGACACTCGGACAAATCTTCCAGATAAACCTCATTTATTCAGCTAGTTCCTAAGGGGAGACCCAGAATCCCAGGTGGGAACTGAGTAGACAGAGGCAATGTGGATGTCACAGTGATGCAGGGCAGGCGAGTCCCAAAACTAGGGCTTAGCACAGAAGGGTTCTTGGCTTTGCCCAGAAAAGAATTCAAGGGTGGACCAGAGGTGTTAAGACAGCAACTTTTATTGAAGTGGCAGTGTACAACAGTAGCAAAGCTACTGCTCCTTGCGGAGCAGGGCTCCCCCATAGGCAGTGTGCTCAGAGTAGCAGCTCAAAGGCTGTTCTGCAGTCATATTTATACCTGCTTTTAATTACATGCAAATTAAGGGGTGGTTATGCAGAAATTTCTAGGAAAAGGGGGATAACTTCTGGGTTGTTTAGTTGTTGACATGGAAAGGGGCAGTAACTTCTGGGTGTTCCCATGGTAATGGTAAACAGACATGGCACAATGGTGGACATGTCTTATGGAAAGCTGCTTTTGCCCTGTCCCTATTTTAGCTAGTCCTCAATTTGGTCAGGTGCCTGAGCCCTGCCTCTGGAGTTCAGTCCCGCCTTGCACCTCAATAGACAAAGGTTTTACATGAGTGGGTCAGGAACTGGACCCAAAGGAGGGGAAAGCCAAATTCCTAGAGATCAAAACTCTGTCATCCTACATCTTTGGAAGTCTGCCCAGGCCATAACCATGTATGACATTTCTGTTCTGTTCACTAGGGAAATGGTAATCCTAAGAGAGGCTGCAACATTGCTTCAATGAGTACAACGGATGAGGGGACCTGCTGTCCTAGGAGGGGAGGGGAAGAAGTAGTGTCTTACTGAAGAAGGAGAAGTCCTACCCCAAAATGTCTCCCCCTATCTCTCAAATCATTTGTATCACTGACAACGAAGTATCTGGAAAAATGTGTCATTGTAAGGTAACTTCTTTGGTAGGTAGATGTCACTATACTTCGTTGCAGAGGTATAAAAGCAGAGCAATTATGAACTTGGACTCCAAAGCCATTCTTCTAGGGTTTGAAATCCTGGCTCTGCTGGTTAAGAGCTTGTATGACTCTGGACAACTCTCTCACCTTCTCAGTGCCTTAATTTCCACCTCTGTAAAGTCTTATAAGTTACAAGATTGTTGTGAAGATTCAAGAGTATGTGTATCTGAATCTGTCTATCAACCAATATATCTATCTATGCTTGACTGTATGAATGTTGCTAAATCACTCTGGGGGAACAGACAGACAGTACTATAAGTAGAGTGCAAAATACCATTATCCACTCACTTAACTAATAGTTACTGAACAACCACAATGTGTCAAGACCTCAGCTGAGTGCTAGAGATAGAGCCAATGGTGAACAGTTTCTGCTTTGATAAAGCCAATAATTTTCCAGGCTTTAGGTTTGTGAATAAAGTATAGATCATGCTAGTTCTATTTTATGCTATTCTGCCTAATCCTTGTTATTCCCTCTTAGTAAGAATGAACCTGGCATAGCTTGCCACACCGCCATTTCACAGACAAGAAAAATGAGGCTCATATTTTCACCCAGGGTCGATCACAGACCTAACAGACAGCAAAACTGAGTCAGAACTAACTTCATCTCTAGTATTTATTTGAGGCAAGGTCTCACTCTGTCACCCAGGCTGGAGTGCAGTGGCTTGATCACAGCTCACCACAGCCTTTACCTCCCAGGCTCCAACAATTTTTCCACTTCAGCCTCCTGAGCAGCTGATACTACAGGCACATGCCACCACATCTGGCCAACTTTTTTTAAATTTTTAGTAGAGTCTTGCTATGTTGCCCACACTGGTCTCGAACTCCTGGGCTCAAGCAATCCTCCTACCTTAGCTTCCCAAAGTGCTGGGATTACAGGTGTGAGCTACTGCGCCTGAAGATTCCCAGCTTTTAAAAATGACATCATCTCCACCTGAAACATAAACCAACCAGGCTGACTTGTCAAGCTTTTAATTTTGGGGATGCAGGAACATGGTGAAGTTGAATTATGGAAAAAAAAAAAAAGTTAAGTCATTAGATTGCCCAAAATATAACTATATTTTAAGACCATGAAAAGAATAAAGAGAACAACTTATGTTGCAAAACCACGTTTCACCTGTTTACTCCCCCACACCCCCACAGTTAGCTTCTATAGCCAGGAAATTTATAAACAAAAATCTCACTTTAACTTTTCTATACTCTACTCAGGTCAGGCAAACATAGTCATTAGTGATTTGAATTAGTTTGCTAAATAAATTAAAGTATACTTTTAAAAGACAGCTGTCAAAGAAAAAGACAATGGATTGTGTTTGGAGAACAGATTAAAAAACATTGATCAAATCTTCCGTGGTTCTTACTGTACTCCAATACAGTGGGGTTCATATGATGACTTGCAGGTCATTCAGCTCATTCAAATATATGTATTACCTGTTTCATATATGATCCATATGATGATATGTTCAATACACTGAATACCTCTCAAAGAAACTGAAAACCAAACTTTCAAGCATTTTTCTAATTGTGGAAGTATCCTTTCCCAAAAGAGAACATAATTTTCTACACATTACTTGAGATTTCACACCATAATGGCTTACCACAAAAAGAAGCATGGAAAAAGTTTTCTGTTATTAAAACTACTTAAATATCAAAAAGAAACCATGTTAAAATAAAAACAAATGCATGTTTTTCAACAATTTATATTTCACGTTAATTGTTATTGTTGTTATTGTTTAATTAGGCTGTATGAAAATATCTCTTGAAAGGTATTTAGAAGTTTATACTAAATGGGTGAAAAATCTATCTTGGATGCAATGTGCTCAGGTTATAAAAGCATCAGTGCTTATTTTATCTCCCCACAAAGTGTCGCTGAGATAATTACTGCTGACAGCTTTATTCAAGGTTCATTTCACTTTTTCTGCTGTTTTTCTCGGTTAGAAGTTCAAGAGAGCCCATGGGAAGCCACACCCCTCACACCTGTTAGGCTTCTTCATGTTACAGAGGGCCAGTATGGACATGTCACTTCAAATTAGCATTGTACCAAGGCACTAGCTGTGACAATTACTTATCACAGGTTTAACTAAAGAAAAAAAAAGTTTCTAATTCAACCACAAAAACAGTGTCACAAAATGTAATTTAAACCTGTAAAAGCAGGTTGCATAAAAAACATTCAGAGAGCTACAAAATAGGTTCCCAGGGTTGAGCTTTGTGCAGCATCTGAATTATGCAGGAATGCTATACAAGTGAACATTTCCTTTAAAACAAAATCAAACCAAAAAGGTAAACAAGGCAGCACCAGCAATTACACTTTACCAGCCAGCAATGGTGATGAGTGGGCCTCTTTAAATTTACTTCATTGTGCTGGAGTATTTGATTCACTTTGTTAATTCTTTTGTGTCAAGTTACTAATTCAATAATGAAATTTCCAGTTAAAGCAAAGCAGCTACTTTTAGACTTATGAAAGACTTAGCTTTGTATTAGGGAGAAAGAATTTTCTTCTAATATTTGCTTTTTTCCACTTACAAACCAGAAAATTATCATTAGACAAGGTAGATATTAACACAAAAAGAAAAAGGAAAAACCTCACACCCTTAAATGTGCTTCAAGCTAGTTATTATAAGCCTCTCTGTTTCAAGTGCAAAATAATCTCAAAATTATGCCACCTCTGAAAGACCTAGGATAGTTGGAGGTAGTTAATATGGACTGCTGTGAGGCTAATTGTGGATCTTGAGTTAATTACTTTCTGCGGATAGCAGATTTTAAAAATAAATAAGATGGTCTTTTACTCCATTTTTACTTCAATTTAAACTCAAGGAAACATGAGATGATGATGGTTAAGCTCTGAATACTTCATTATTTGCTGCTGCTATTTAGATGAAGACCCAGAAAGTCTGAGAAATATGTCCACATCATAATCAATGCTAATGTTCACTAGGAAAACAGGAGTGGACAGATACGTATTTTTCACAATGCACAATTTGATTCACAAATACCCACCGTACATTACTTGGTCAGAGTTAACAGGAATTAACTGTCATTTCTCACCCCCCACCAACCTCCCCACATACCCACACACGTATATACACATGCACAGGCTGGAGGACACAAGGCAGAGCTCATGGAAACTGGCTTTGAAACAGAAAGTGTTAAACACATGAAAAGCAAAGGGCAAAATAATGACGCTGAGCAGGAAATTCAACAGAAGAAATTGCTTGTTTGTAGAAAATCACACATATTGGTGAACGAAAACAGTTCGATGGTAATCTTGTTATGGCCACATAATTTCAGTATCTTAATAGTTTGAAAAATTTAAAAACCATCATACACAGGAAAAGTGCATTATTAGAAATGTAACATTTTCTGAAGATATTTTTCTTCATTTTCCTAACATTTAGATAGTCACATTAACAAAAGCATATAAAGTCAACACATGATATATTGATTATAACAGTCTAGGATCTTATCAAAACAAGCCCTTTGCCTTATTCTACAATCACAACAAATTCAGAGAATCAAGACGAAATCTTCAGTTACAATGAAAAGGTTATTTTACCTCAAGCAGATTCCTCATTTTATTATAAGTTTGATAAATAAAGAGGTTCCGTTAGTGGAGAAACCTCATTATTTTAGAGAGCTACTGTATTAATCAGTGGTCATTTCAGCTCATCATAACCACAGAACCTTCAAATATGCAAGGATACATCTCAAGCCTGCTTTGTATGCATGAAGGGTACCAACGAGCCACTTGGCTCATGTCTAGTCAATAGTGAGATGCCATTTACCCCTCAACACTGTGGAACTCTTTGGATAGCAAATATAAGAGCTCTGGATATTTTTCCAGCAGCATCTAATTCCTTGGCAAAACCTAGGCAGTCATGCTAACAACTTTGGTCTCGGGACATGGACATAGTGCTGCTGGGCATCTTGTCCTGGCTTTTCCTCCTAGGAAAAAAGAGTCTGAATTAACTATACCATGTTAGGCACACCAGCATAAATGGGTACTATCTAGAAACAAGAAAAAGTAATTTCACCTTGCCAGTTAATCCTTGCTGGCTCAGCCTAGCCAAGTAATTTTTTTCCTTCTGCTCAACTCTTAAAACCGTTATTGTGAAGCTCTAGAATTAGTGTTTTGTGATTTAAAAGAACTACAACTTTCATTGTATCTGTGTTTAGGTGACTCTAAGGTCCTTGAAGACACAGCCTGGATCTTATATTCTCATTTTTAGCTGCCATGGGGCTCTTAGTAGGTTGCTTTGTATATGCCATGCAATAAATGTCTAATGCTCTAACTTATATGGGTACTTTTCCTACTTTCCTTGCCAAGATAAAATATGAAAGACTTGTAATTTTCTAGAGAAATATATAACCTACCTAGTCCTATAATCCAAGGCCTGGAAACCACTCCAAAGTGAGATAAACACTAAAAACTATCATTAGAGTTTAAATAACTATCTGATTGACATCTGGGCCTCAGTGAAAAGTATAAGGTTCAAAAGCATTCTGACATGATATGGCATATTAAATTTAATTCAGTAGTCACAAAGACTTAAAACTACCAATCAAAATATGCAAAATAAAGACCAAATTTACCTTCAACATAATTTGAACTTACGCATCTTCATTTTTTGACAGACATACTGTTTTCATTTCATACTTAATGTTCCTGTATAATTAGCTTTGCATTCTAATGTATTTCATCTCTGTGGACTTCATGGGAATTACAGTAATCCAAATGTCATTCAGCTCTACGTTGTAAGACATGATTGCTCTTAAATTTATGAGGATGAATAATGTAGCTAATAAAAACATTTTCAAATTTATAATGTATATTAAACATTAAAAAAATCCAACAGATTTGAAATGTCTCACATAAGAATAATACACAAGGAATTATACTTTTTAGGACTCCCACTCAAGTAAATACAAGAAATAGTAAGTAATCACTCAATATACATGTGTTTATTTACTGGTTCTTATATATACACATGCATTGCAAGAAAAATCTTTTATATTAAAAAAACAAACAAACAAAAAAACCAGGCAGGGCATGGTGGCTCACACCTGTAACCCCAGCACTTTGGGAGGCCGAGGCGGGCAGACCTCAAGGTCAAGAGATCAAGACCGTCCTGGCCAACATAGTGAAACCCTGTCTATACTAAAAATACAAAAATTATCCGGGCGTGGTGGCACGTGCCTGTAATCTCAGCTACTTGGGAGGCTGAGGCAGGAGAACTGCTTGAACCTGAGAGGTGGAGGTTGCAGTGAGTCGGGATTGTGCCACTGCATTCCAGCCTGGCAATAGAGTGAGACTCTGTCTGAAAAAAAAAGAAAAAAAACACACACAAAAAAACCAAGAGACAAAAATGGGAAAACCCTCAGATCCAAAACTCTTTTCAAAAATATTTTGGCACATGGTAAAAGAATGATCCATTCCCAAGACAAGCATGTATTCTATGGGCAGACTCATACCTGCAGCACTTATTTACGTCAATGCCACAAATCTGAAAGCTGTGAAGTGTTAACTCTTCAAACCAGGCAGAAACTATTGTTGTGTACTACTAAGTCCGATTATTCAAAAAACTAGTTTACCTGTAACTTCAAGCTGAATAAATGTATTGAAATATTAGAGTTAAGGGGGGAAAAAAAAGAATGTTTATGTGAGTG